>NC_000013.11:86556009-86859039 GCF_000001405.40 Homo sapiens
CTTGGTATCTCAACTTCATGAGAAACTCAAAATACTCATAGAGTAGTCTTGGCTTCTACATATAATGACATATAAATAATGGCATGTAAATATCCCATTATATATATATATATATATATATATATACACACACACATATATATATGTATACACATATATATATATTTAGTTCATCAGAATTATAATAACCTTTCTTGGTAGAAGCATTTGTCCTAAAATATCCAAATTCATTGAACCAAAAATATTGAGTAAGGGGGGTGAAAAATAGCACATATGGGTATTACCACGGCAATTAATAAGGAGTTTTGTTAGCCAAGAAAGGGACATGCTGACAAGGACTGTGCTCAGAGAAAGCAAATCTGAGGGAATCAATCTGCCACTAGCAAGATAATTTATTACCCTGGAAGAATGGTGTCTTATCAAGAGCTCAAGTTTGTCTCTGTAGTTGATGGACTGGATATTAGCTGTGTTTAAAGTGTAATTGTATTTGTTTAGATAAAATATTTATGAACTCATTCCAGTCACTGTGGCCATTTTGTGCCTGGGCCCAATGACTAAGCGCTGGGTTGGTTAGGAAGTCTCAAATATATCCATAGGGGAGGTAATTTTTAGGGCCTATTCTGACATAGATAACACATTTTGCAAATGTGCTTTGGGTACTTTATGAATATGTATATTTTTACACTAACCTGCACAAATTACCCCATGTTGTTATTCAATATAATAATTTTGTTAAATAATTTTATAAAGTATTTAATATACATTTCCTTTTGATGTTGAACTTTGTATCTAGAAATTTATCCTTCTGCTATATAGAATTGCACCTTGTTAAAGCATTGTTAGATTTGTATTGTGTTCAGGCTAATATTAGTTTATAACATTTTTGCTTTTTTCACCTATATTTTAATTTCAATATTAGATTATTCTTTTCTTAAAATATGTAGAGTGAGCTTTTTTGTCTCCTATTTTCTGAGGTTTTCAAATCACTGTACCATCCAATATTGACACCTTAATTTTTGTCAATTCTTATAATTTTGTCTTTTCTTTTTTTACATTTATTCTTTCATTCACTTGTGTACATATCACTGGTAATTTTTCCCAGGAAAATATAATCTCCGTAATTTTACTCAATAATTTGGTATACAATTTTTTTCTACTTTATTCTTGTAATTGTTTGTCAATCTTTTCCTATTTATGCTTATAATATTCTTGTTAGTACAATTGAGATTGAATTGCATGCTCCTAAAAGTTTGAAGTTCAGTTCAGAAAATATATTTTAATAAGAATTTTCACACCATAAATTTATTAAAATATAGTTCAGAATATGTATATTTTCTATCTGAGGAAAAGAGAATGGATATGGTCATTGGAGAAATATTAGAGCTAAGTAGGCAAGTGTCTGTGCTGTGCTGTGCTGCACTAAGCTGTCCATGTCCTTAAGATTTCGGATCAAAATCCATTTTGTAAATTGTTGCTTATTTTATAGTAATAATACTAAACAGAAGAATAAAAAAGTATAACCTTTGTTCTTATCCAACAAAGAAAATAACAACAACAAATATCTTTCCTCTGAGTATGAGAGATATCTTTATTTTTTATTTTTATTTATTTATTTTTTTTGATATTTAATTTCCTTTTTATTGGACCAAATGTTATGGTAAATCACTCCAGGAAAACGGCTGAGCAAATGTGAGGCTAACACCACAACCAGCCCCAGAAGTAAACAAAAGCACAACACCGGCAAAAGCATTCACTTTGAAAATTCTAACCCTGGCACAGCAGTCTTGAGGTTCATGTTTCCCCACTGCGATGTGCTTAACTTGAACAGTGTGGCTGAGCTTTCCCATTCTAACTAGGGTTTCTTGAACCAGAAACAAAGGCAAGTCAGTTCTGAGGCTGAGATTCAAATAATCAGATCACGGGACAGCTGCAAACTGGAAAGCAAATGAGACAGCTACTGGAGTGATCCCATTAATAAAGGCCCTCCTCCCAACACGTGGCCCTTTCCCCAACACACTAGAGGCCAACAGAAAGGACACTTCTTCCTCTTTGGAAGGAAGGAAGCTAACAACTGGAATGAGTCTGATTAACCTGGTTAACAACTGGAAGGAGGAAGGTCTGTTATGAGTCTCTTTAAATTCCTGCTTTTTCCTTAGTAGTCCTAATGAAGGAGGAGAGGATTTAAAAAAAAAAGAGCTAAAAGTATTTTGCTGTTGCTTTTGATAACGCTGTCACACACAATGATGATTTTTTAAAATGAACACTGGGATTTGGCCAGGCGTGGTGGCTCACGCCTATAATCCCTGACTTAAAACTATACTACAAGGCTACAGTAACCAAAACAGCATGGTACTGGTGCCAAAACAGAGATATAGATCAATGGAACAGAACAGAGCCCTCAGAAATGACGCCGCATATCTACAACTATCTGATCTTTGACAAACCTGAGAAAAACAAGCAATGGGGAAAGGATTCCCTATTTAATAAATGGTGCTGGGAAAACTGGCTAGCCATATGTAGAAAGCTGACAGAGAGATATCTTTAAGGTACAATGAAAACCATTGTTAAAATATATTCATATGCCACATTTCTCTATTCACCCTACCAGTTATATTTTCTAAAGATATTTTCCTTCTAATGTGTTCATTCACATGAAAATTTCTTAATACAGATATTTCCAATTTTAGTCAAATATATTTTCAACTTTATAAAATACATCTAGCAAGTAATTCATTTTTAAATGAGAGAGCACACAGTATATAATGTATAATGCATGTAGAATGCTTTTCCATATATATATGTGTATATATGTGAAGATAAAAGAGATATAGTGTTTCTTTCAAATTATTGCTCAAAATTAGTAGACTGTGTATGAATTAAGAAATACAGTTATTTGCTGCATAATGATATTTCAATCAATAATAGACCACACATATGATGGTGATTCCCCAAAGATGATATCATATTTTTACTGTACTTTTTCTATGTTTAAACGTATTTAGATACACAGATACTCAACATTGTATTACAATTGCCTACAGTATTCTGTTCAGTAAGATGTTGTACAGGCTTGTAGCCAAGGGTCAATAGGCTATACAATATAGTCCAAGTGTGTAGTTGGTTAAACAATCTAGGTTTCTATAATTACATTCTATGACTCCATGATGTTCACACAGTGAAATCACCTAAGGATGCATTGCTCAGAATGTATCCCTGTCATTAAGTCATGCATGACTGTAAATGCAATTGTTTTATTCATTTTCACACAACCCATTTGCTAATGTTCTCTTTTTGAATGTGCTCATTTCCTATTTTATCTCCTACTTTTATTTCCATTTCTAGCTATGTTTTTATTCTTAATGCAAATGAATAATCATATAAGTAATAATGAGAAGAAATTAGAAATCACACAGCAGTTGTAGGAAATGCTATTGAGAAGAATTAATATGTTTTTTCACATTATGTGGGTTTTAGTGTTATACTAGGAATAGATATTGGTTCAGATGGTTTTATTCTTAGTATTATATTTTTATACTCAGTTTTATATTCTATAACTATTTCTGGGAGAAAGATATCAACTACCTTCTTTCCATAAGACCTGTAAAATTTTATCAGTAACCGTATAAATTATGTCAGAATTTTCCAAATCCTTCACCATGGGACATTAGTTCTGTTAAAGAACTCTGTGGCCAAATACTTACATTAAATTAATTAAAAATCCTACCTGTAATAATTATTTGCTTTTTTAAAGCAAATAACTACTTGCTCTTTCAATTTTATTAACTCAATACATGTTAGATAGTAATCAAAACAGCCTTAATATTCCCCTGAGATTGACTAAATTTTAGAATTTTTCCTCATTACAGGTCCCTGACCTCCCTTTTTAAAAGAGCATTCATTTTTAGAAAAGTTGAATTGTAAATTTGTCTTTGTTCCATTGACATATAAATTTTTTTCACAGCCTTCTGCTGGTTTTACAAGCAAGCAATGTCTTTCTTAAGGACCTGGGAGCCATCTGTTCGAAATGCAATCAATAAAGGTAGCAACTCTTTCTCTGTGAGAGAGCAAGAGCTAAAAATTGAAAACTGCCAATTAGCAAAGACAGAATGACTCATCACATTACCAGCCTCTCTCATTATGTCCTCCAGTACTTTTCACTAGCTCATCCCAGTGCTTAAAAACTCTCCCTCTTTTTGTTTCAACTTGAGTTCAGTTCAATATCTCCTCCCTATTGCAGTAGTCCTAAATCCTATTGCAATAGTCTTAAAGTCCTTCTTGTCTGTTTGTTTTGCCTGGTGCACAATTTTCTTTGACAAGTATATCATGTTTGGGAAGAACTTTAAGAAATAACATCTGTTTAATATCATAGTTCTCAAAACATGAACACTTTGATAAACCTGAGCTTTATAAAATATAATTTCTGAAATGCAAATAAATGTAAATATTATTTATATGTAATATGTAATGACATCAATAGATATTGAGCACTCACTATGAGCACAATCACATCTTTAGTATTAGAAAAATGCAAAAATATGACATTGTCTCTATCATGTATTATTTTATATGTTAAAAATGGAGGCTGGGTGCTGTGGGTTACGCCAGTAATCCCAGCACTTTGGGAGGCCGAGGAGGGAGGATCACCTGACGTCAGGAGTTCAACACCAGCCTGGCCAACATGGCAAAACCCTGTCTTTACTAAAAATACAAAATTAGCCGGGAGTGGTGGCACACACCTGTAATCCCAGCTATTCAGGAGGCTGAGGCAGGAGAATCGCTTGAACCTGGGAGGCGGAGGTTGCAGTGAGCCGAGATTGCGCCATTGCACTCCAGCCTGGGCGAAAGAGCAAGACTCCATCTCAAAAAAAAAAAAAAAAAAAAAAAAAAGGAAGAAACAGAGTTAAAAGTACATTCAAAATTATGAAGCAAAGCATACAAATTTGCTTTACAAAAATTATAAAACAGAAATGAAATATTCTTGCAATGCTCTAGGAAAAAAAAATAAACAGTCATGTTCTGGCAACACCATTCACTCCCTTTATCCCTTCAAGCCTGAATGTGTTTACTAATCTCCTGCTGTTATTTCTCCTGGTGCTTCACCATCCATTTTACCTGTGTGTCAATGCATATCTCTGGCTATGGTGTCTGAATGGATTAGTGAGGCTTTTGACAAGGTCCAGTGTCTCAGATCCCAGTCTCCTGCACAAAAATTGTTGTAGCTAAAAATAATTTATTTTGCAAGACATAAAATGTAATAAAATAAAAAGCAAAGCAGTGTATGGTAATGTCATAAGGAGATATTTGTTTTCTTAATTTATTCAATTACTGAGTAATGTGATTTTGTACAAATTATTCTACTTGGTGGGCCTATCATTTATATAAGTTAAAGAGAAATTGTTAGATGGTGTGGTGTCTCAATTTTCTCTTTTTTGACATTATATGTTTTATGATTGCATCTGTTTTTGCTTGGTTTGTTGGTGTTTTCTTTTAATAATGACTACTGACCAGTAAACTTCACTCCTGTCAGCTCAACTATATTTTCCATTAGGTGAACTTTGCATTCTATATTTGGGATGCAACTCAATCAGCCAGACATGTATTTTGACATTGAACAAATATATTGCATGTCACTCAATTTACTCGATCTTTTCTAAACTGTATTTGAGGAAGCATTAAATATGTCACTTCTAGAAACTGAAATAATTAAGAAGTATATCTGTAAATCAATCTTTTATAAAACTACCTTTTTCTTGAAATTTATTTTAAGAAAAATGTTTCTCAATAACTTTTGGAAGGATTAGTAACAAAAGCGTATATGTTTGGTAGTGAAACATCTTATTAAGTTATAATGTAAAATTACATATAAAGTGTTATTTAAAGAACATGGAGTCATATATTGTCATAACTCCAACTTATTTTACTTTCACAAATTATTCTATTTCAATCTAATCCTAATAGATTCATGACTTTTTTCTATAATGGTGAACAATTTATTTTAAAAAATATTTTACTCTGAATTTACTCAAAGGCAAACATATCTTTGAGATGGAAAAGTAAGAACAAATTCTCCTCCACTGCATCCCCAAGTACTATCAAAAGAATAGGGTAGAAATGTAATATTTAATTTAAAATGAAAGAATCAAAGTCAAATTATACATTTTCCTAAATTTTCAAAAAATTACAAAACTGATGAGATTTTAGTGACTGATGACAAAAATTATTAGATGTAAGGCCCAGAATACTGGGAGAATAAATATGTAGTGAAAGAGGGAGTCCCTTTTTCCAGCCAAACTTCAGAATGTATTACAATCAGATCTGGCAATAACACACACCAGGAACAAGCTTTGGGAAAGAAGAGTTGAATTGAATTGAATTGAACTGAATTAACTTGAATTAAATGGTTGTCAGTGGAAAGACTATGGAATTTCTTTCGACTTTTTTGTGCACACTATATTAGTGATCAGAGTAACTGAAAACCTGGGGCCAGGCGCAGTGGCTCACGCCTGTAATCCCAGCACTTTGGGAGGCTGAGGCGGGCGGATCTCGAGGTCAGGAGATCGAGACCATCCTGGCTAACATGGTGAAACCCCGTCTCTACTAAAAATACCAAAAAATTAGCCGGGCGCGGTGGCGGGCGCCTGTAGTCCCAGCTACTCGGGAGGCTGAGGCAGGAGAATGGCGTGAACCTGGGAGGTGGGGGTTGCAGTGAGCAGAGATAGCGCCACTGTAATGGCCTGGGCGAAAGAGCGAGACTTCATCTCAAAAAAAAAAAAAAAAAAAGGAATTACACACATGCTAATTACACACATGCAAAGTGTCAATCATTTGATCTCTAAATAAATCGAAAAAAAAAAGCACTATTGTGGTCTAATAGTTTCGACATTTCAGGATAAATTGTCACTTATTTTGGCGTGGAAAGCAAAAGATAACTTACTAGTCAGATTGCATACCGAAGAAACCTGTAGTTGCTGTGAGGATAGCTGTCCATAAATCTCTGATTTTACTTTAATCTTACCATATGGCTAACTGATGGAAAGGCAGCGGAAGAAACATGCATCATTTCCGGGCATCGCAGATGAAGCCTCTTGTGTGTTCACCTCCTTATTCTTTCATGAAGGAGAAGATGATGACAAAGGCATTATTTGAAGACCACTTTCCCCACCAAACTGTATTATCTTATTTGGAGTAAAGATACAAAATTCTATTGCAATAAGTAATTATAGGTTTTTAGCATTTTTAAGCAATTTAACCTAGTTTATATTTGATTGAAATGGATACTTTGAAGGACGGTGCTCCAAGAAAAACATATGTTATAATGACAACAAAGAAAGTGAAATTCAGGACATTACTCAGTGGTCAGAAGTTGTGCACCAACCAAGCTGATATGGAGACTAAAAATGAAACGCCACTATACCTTGGCAAAACATTTGTTAAGAATAATGACTGTGATAATTTGTTAGGCAGCATCAGTGTTAGTCAAGCTTGAGGTTTAGGGAAAGATTTCCAGTTCCTATGACTCATTAAAATGTCTTTGTCTACAGCTCAGGAAAAGTAGGGGGAAAAAGAACTCTGTGTCGAAAGGACCTTGTCTTCAGGAAGAGATTAAATTAACACAGGGACTGACAAATAAAGGCCTGTGGCTCAGATCTGACAACCTGTGTTTGCATTGCCCCCTAGTTAAGAATGCTTTTTTTAAAAAATTTAAAATTATTGAAAATTTCCAATGAGGTCTAATTTTTTGTGACACATAAAAGTTACATGAATTCAACTTCTGTATGAATACTACTGCTTTGTTAGAAAATAATCACACTTATTTATTTACATATTACACATGGCTGCTTTTGTATTATAATATCTGAGGTAATTAGTTGCCACAAAAGATGTATGTGGCACTTGCATTTGACACCACTCTTTAACACTATGAAAATCACAGCAATGGAGTTATACCTGGAAAGTGTTTCTAAGGCCATACACTAGTTGTCACCACACCTCAGCATTTTATTAATTTGTTTATTGCTAATGCATACTTGTAAAGTCAAAACAAGAAGAAAGAGACACATAGACTATCAATGTCACACTTTAGGTGCACAGTAGAGTGTGAATTGAATCATAATGCATTTAAAGACTATTATAAATGAGTCTAGTATAACTGACCTCAATAACGCAATAATGACACAAAATTAGAATATTAATCAACTATGTTAACTATACAGATTATTAGCAATAAAAGTTTATTAAGGTGAAAAGCTATGTAAATCACAAAATTATTTACATTTCTGAATATGTAAAAGTAATAATCATAAACAAGTAATGTTGATAATGCATCACAAAATTATTTACATTTCTGAATATGTAAAAGTAATAATCATAAACAAGTAATGTTGATAATGCTTTATTCATCTTGTCCATGGTTAAACAATTAGGTACCAGTAAATAATCTTAAAATATTGAATATCATTGAATATTCAAATAAAATTTGAATGTCATGTAATTATAAAAATCACATTTAAAGTACACTGTGTAACTGGTACATGTAGATTCATTAAAAATAACTAACATTTTTCTCTGAGGAATAAAATGCTCTTAAAGAATCAGAGAAAAACACCAAAAGCTTTATGAGAAAATTTGATTTTGTGATGCTGCTATTGTATGAAAATTAATATATGAATTAAAAGGACTCCTAATTATCATGTAAATAATACTCTTCATGGAACTTGATAAGGTGGTAAGAATATTATGAATCAATGAATTTGTGAGAGCCCTGAAGCTAAATTTTTTGAAAGAATCTAAATAAAATGTCTCTGTGTCAGATTTTAAAGGTTTTCTTTCTGTCTGTCTTTTTGTCTTTTTTTTTTTTTTTTTTTTTTTTGAAACAGACTGGAGTGCTCTGTCGCCCAGACTGGAGTGCAGATTCCAGATCATGGGTCACTGCAAACTCCACCTTCTGGGCTCAAGCTGTCCTCCCACTTCAGCCTCTTGAGTAGCTGGGAGAAATTAGTATGCCCACCACTCCCACTAATTTTTGTGTGTTTTGTAGAGACAGCATTTTGCCATGTTTTCCAGACTGGTCTAGAATTCCTGGGCTGAGGTGGTCTGCTCGCCTTGGCCTCCCAAAGTGCTAGGATTAGAGGCATGAGCCACCAGACCCAGCTGCAAAGATTTTAATCATCTATAACTATAAAAATGTGTGTAGGAATAGGCAGAAATAGGTAAACAGATAAAAACAAAAGAAATACACAATAGGGTCCAGAAACACTTCTGTTTATATACATATATTTGGGAACAATATTTGCTCTTTGTGTGATATGAAGTTTTCTCATGCTGCTTCCTTCTAGAGCAAGTTTGGGGTCTGGTATTTGTTTCATTCATATAGACATATTTTAAAATAAATGAAACCAGATTGGTTACCCATCAAACTTTTGTCCATACTTCAAATTATTCTTCACCTGTCTTGGAGTCGACAGTAGCAGCATACCCCCATGACAAAAGCTTGGAACCAAATATATTCTTATTTATGTATCCTATGCCTCATATAAACTTAATCACTAATTTTCTATTTCTTCTACCTCTCAGAATACTCTTTACTCATCCTCTGTCTTCTTTGAACTTTGACAATAAATAAATGTTGTTTCCTCTTCTTCCACACATAAATTTGAAATTATTTTCTTTACTAAAAATTCCAATATATGATTCAAAGTTGTCTTATTACATTTTATAAAACTTTATATTTTACTAGTGTTCTTCTTCTTGAAACTCAGCCTTTTTACACAGTATTGTATGCCATGTTTAAGATTTAGGTTAATTTATGCTTCCCATGTGAGGCATCATGCATTTAATTGAAATAAATACATTGGACAACTTGTTTCCTAGCAAAGGACTTCTTTTTGGGGGTCAAATTAGAATACAATGGAATAAAATGAAAAAAAAATACACACACAAACACAGACACATACACATATTTCTTTAACTCTATGAAATATAAACTATTAAAATTAAATAAATATAATTAATAAATTTATAATGTTAGACTCAAATTTATGAGATGCTATTAAATTTACAATTAGATGATTTTTGCTGAGTTAGGAAAGAATATTCTTAAAATATCTTTCAGTTGTAACCACACATAAAATATTTTTATAAAAAAATTTTAATGCCAATTTTATATTACTGTAATGTGAACAAATTTTAGTAATAATTTATGATATGCTCATTCTCTTCTAAAAAAAGAAAATTCACATTTTATACTTTATTCAGTATAGCCTTAGCTGTCCTTGGCTACTTAATTTAAGGGAATTCTTATCAAAACTCCATAGAAATGAGTGAGAAGACATTCTCTGGAATTAATTTCTAAATTAAATTAATATTTTAAATATATAAAACAAGCTAGCCTCAAAAGTGTAAAGAAGCAGGATGACTCCCCAGTTATTTAGTGACTTCTATAAAGTTCTCAGACTTTTTCAACACATATAGCAGTCAACTTGATATATATTTAAACATCTTTGAGGCTTCTTTATGGTTTTAAACGTGTCCGCTCCAAAATTTATATTAAAACTTAACCCCAAATGCATCAGTATAAAGAGATGGTGCCTTTAAGAGGTGATAAGACCATGAGGGCTCTGCCTTCATTGATGGGATTAGCACCTTGTAAAAGCATTAGAGGAAATAGCTAGGTCCTCTGTCCCTTTTTGCCTTTCTGTTACATGAGGCACCTACACTTTGCTTTCTGACGATGCCGCAACAAGGTGCCATCTTTGAAGCATAGTGTACTTTCACAAGACACTGAATATGCTGGAGTCTTGGTCTTGAAGTTCCCTGTTTCAGAACTGTGAGAAATTTCTATTATTTATATATTATTCAATCTAAGGCATTTCAATATGGCAGCAGGAAGGGACTAAGACACTAATTTTCATATAGGCACCAATTTTCATATAGACACCTCTGCATTCTTTTCATTAAGCTTAATATGAGGTCCATGCCACCCTCACCCCACAGAAATATCAATTTGGAAAACTATCCACATACACAAGTATCTTCACAAGAGCTAAAGAAACCAGGTGAGAGATCACAGTACCTGGTTGTGGAAAAATAAGAAGAAAAGAATCATTGAAGAAGGAAGGAAGGGCAGTTTTACATGGCCTGTCCCCAATCCCAGGCAGCAAGCCCAGAGAAAAATACTGACTGCCTGGGGAAAGCAGGGGGAAGTGAACACAGGACTTTGCTTGGTCCCAGACACTGGGCCCACCACAGTAAAACTCAGTACCAAGCTGACCCCATGGCCCGATATTCCAGACCAGTACCTGTGGACTAAGACTCCAGAACCGCCAGGTGGAGCCATATAGCCCCTGGCTTCCGGCTTGCATGACAGACTCAATCAATCTCTCATGTTTTATGTGTCTGAAAATGTCTTTATTTAAACTTTGTCTTTCAAATATATTTTTTGCTGCATAAGGATTTTAGTATGATTGCTTTCTTTTTATATTTTAAAGATATTAATCAATAGTTTCCTATTTTGTGTTATTTCTAACCAGAAATCTGCTCTTACATTTAACTTTTTTCATCTTCCTTGAATGTGTTTTTCTTTCTCCATTTTTGACAGACATTCTATTTTTACTTGTTTTAAGCAATTTGGTTAAGACGTGTTTTGTTACAGTTCCCTTTATGATTCTCGTACATGGGATTGGTCGTGCTTCTTAAATTTTTGTATCTACAGTTATAATGAAATTTGGAAAATTTTGGACGACTATAGCTTCAGATTTTTTTTGTACACCTCCACCTTTATGGAAACATTATTATTAGGCTGCTTGAAGTTCTCTCTTTGTCACTGATTTCTATTTTTAGTATTTTCCCCCTTTTGTTTCACTTTGGATAGTTTCCATTGCTGCATCTTCAAGTCCTCTATTCTTTTCCTCTTCAATGTCTTTTCTACCATCATTCGTTCCTGCATATTTTCCATCTGATTGTCCTATTATAGTTTTCATCTCTAGAAGTTGAGTTTGAGTGGAACTCCATCTCCTCTACTCTGAGAAACTGCCAGGATTTTTCTAGATTTTATCTTTGGGCTTTGGTTATTGATTTGCAGAATTTTTGTATATTCTTTATATAAATTGTTCGTCAGGTAAGCACATTAAAAATACTTTTCCCAGATTGTATCTTACCCTTAAATTTTAATGTATTTTAAGAAATCATGATAAAACAATAAATTTACCATATGAACCTCTTTTAAGTGTACATTTCAGAGTTGTTAAGTATATCAATAAGCATATTCATGTAGTTGTGCAACAGACTTCTAGAAATGAAACTGTATAACGATTAAATACTAATACTCAATCCACCCTCTCCCCCTCCCTTGGTAACCACCTTTCCACTTTCTGTCTTTATGGTTTTGCTTCTTTAGAAACTTCATATTAGTGGAATCTTAGAAGATTTGTCTTTTTCTTTGACTGGGATGACTTAAGCTTTTGTCAAATTATTTGAAATACCTAGTGAAAACATACTACATGTAGGTACACTTAGATCACCTTACACATTTTTCATTATGTTTACTCTCTGGCTTTGAAATCTAATGCAGTGACAAATATACATTATATATTGCTATAATTTATATGTATTTCCTGCTTATAGTTTAAGACATTTTCATGCATCTTCCTTGTTTAAACTTTTATTAATATTTTAAATAAAGCAAAACTTGCTATGTGTTTTATAATCAAGGAAACTGGCTTGTCTACACATTTATTTGTCTCTTGTTTTATATGCAATATCAAAGTAGTATTAATTTCTTCATGTAATGGAATATGTCTTGGTTATTATTCCTATGTAATTATGTTTATCTTTCCTTCAACAGAAACAGGGAATAATATAAATACAGTCATGCACTGCATAACAACATGTCAGTCAACAACGAACTCCATATATGACAGTCACCCCAGAAGAACATAATGACGCTCAACAATTCCTACTGCCTAGTGACATCTTGATAATTCTGACCTGGTATAGGCCTAGGATAATGTATATACTTGTGTCTAGGTTTTTAACAAAAAAGATTAAACAGTAAAAAATAATTAAAATATTAAAAATAAAAGCATTTTTAGAAGTAAGAATATAAAAAATATTTTGTACAGATGTAAATACGTGTGTTTTTTAAGCTAAGTATTATTACAAAATGTCAAAAAGTTAAAAATTTTATAAAATAAAAAAGTTACAGTAAGCTAAGTTCAACATATTATTAAAGACATTTTTAAAAGTAAGTTTGTGTAGCTTAAGAGTGCAGGGTTTACATAGTTGACAGTAGTGTACAGTCATGCTTTTGGCCTGCACACTTACCACTCATTCATTGGGTCACCCAGAGCAATTTTCATTCCTGCAAATTTAATTCATGATAAGTGACCTATACAGGTGTACCATTTTTTATCTCTCATATTATATTTTTACTGTACTTTTTTTGTTTAGATATATATAAATATACAATTCTTACCATGGTGCTACCATTACCTACAGTATTCAGTGTAATAACACTTTGTATAGGTTTTTATTCTAGGAGCAATAGCCTATACCATACAGTAGGCCACACCATCATGGTTTATGTAAGTATTCTCTATGATGTTTGCACAATCATGAAATTGCATAAAGACACTTAATAATTATTAAATAAAAATGAATCAAGATGGTGGGGTTTTTGTTTTGTTTTGTTTTGAGACAGGGTCTCACTCTGTCAGAGAGACTGGAATGCAGTGGCATGACCGTGGCTCACTGCATGCTTGACCTCCCAGGTTCAAGTGATTCTCCCACCTCTGCCTCCCAAGTAGATAGGACCACACGTGCACGCCAACACACCTGGCTAATTTTTTAAAAAAATTATTTTTTGATTTTGGTTAAAATATCTACTATTTTTTAAAGATGTGTAATTTCTGACTACCATATGTTTTATTATTTGTAGAACTTAAAGATATTGTCACATTTCAAATACATATTTTTTGTACTATTCATGTAATCAGAAATTTTATTTTAAATTTAACATTCAAAAATAAATAAAAAACATCATTTAATAATGTTAAACTACACAGGCAATCAGATAAAACAAACAGTATAAATCAGTACATTAGAGATCTGATTACATATTTTTGTTTGTTAAACATATGACTCCAGGGATCTAAGCATCACCATTATTTGACACATTGGTCATCTGGAGTTGTCATGAGTTAGCAAACCAAAAATTCCCAGAGTTAATTTTACAAGCCTCAGTAGTTTGGGAAGTCTTGTCTCATCATTTTTTTTCATAGTTCTAACATTTATCACAGAATACAATTATAATTGTTTATTCACTAAAGCAAAACACAACCTTAGGAGAAATACAAGAGTTATGACCTGTATAATTAAGAAAAGAATGATGTTCCGAATAAATAGACAGGAGAATTTGACTTATCCCAAAACCCACAGTTTCTTCTTTAATCAATAAGTAAGTAACAATGAGAATAGTCTATATTTTCAACAATTGCTACTTTAAAGAATATCAAAAATTCAGAATCCACCAAGTTAATAAAACTCTAAAATAAATGAGTACATCTAAACCTGAATATTTTTATATTATAATACAGTAAAATAGTCAGTAAAATAATACAGTAAAATGACTATTTTACTGTATTATAATATAAAAATATTCAGGTTTAGATGTACCCATTTATTTTAGAGTTTATAATATAATACAATATTATTATACAAGTCGAAGATGTTATTGATGAAAATTCATGTCATACGCCTATGGTATGCTAAAATAAAGAGGCAATACTTTCAGTTAATATCTCTCTGTATCTTACTATCTCTTTCTGCTTCTCCTTTCCACACTGTCGGTTTTATAATTTTAGCAAGGCATGTAGTTGAGGTGAATTTTTTATATTTAAGTAAACTCTTGCATTTGTTTGGTGGAAAAATCTGATAAGCAGATAGGAAAGGAGGGTAAATTTTATAAAGGTATGATCAAACCAATAAGAATGATTAGCAATATTAGACAAGGCAACAAACTAACAAAAACGAATAAACACCAGCAAGAAACAAGAAGACAAATTGGATATCTTCTACAAGGGGGACGAAGTAGAGAGAGAATTGAAAAAAAAAAAGTGAAATAATAGAAGTCAGAACCATGGAGAAATCCCAGATTTGGTGGTCTGCCTCTGCTAATGTTGCTAATAACAAAAATGAATTTTAGTAAGGAATGAATATTTGGTATAAACTGCATAAGAGTGTGTGACAGTTTATGTGGGTGTGTGTTTGGTGCTATGTCCTTTTTAAATACTTACTAGAATTTACCAGTAAAGATACCCAGATCTGGTGGTTTCCTCATTAGAGGAAGTTAACTACAAATTTAACTAAAACAGCAACAACTAGGGCTATTCACATTCCTATGTCTCATTGGGAGAACTTGAGCACTGTCCTTTAACATGGTCAAGTTACTGGAAAATCTTTGATTGTGGCAGGATTGTATCACAGGTTTGCTAGGCAGGATTCCAACAACACAACAGCCTTCAGTTTACTAATAATTCTGTTCCACTGTTGAGGTAATACTCTTCTGATTATTTACTTGAAGTTCGTTGTATTGTGTATTTATTTTCACCTGGCATGGTAAAAATATTCTATTTCTGTGAGAGCGCCAGGAGTTGATTCACCTACTTCATTTGGGTGGCTCCTTTCCCGGCCTTGGCAATGTTCCTTATACCCATGTGCTAATTACTACTCAGATAGAGATTCATGGGGCATCCTCTGAAACTCTCTACAGAACTTTCTCTTACAGCTCTGTTATTTGTTCTTTGTCTGTAATCTCTAGACACCTTTGCCTCTCGAAACACCGAACTCGGTCTCTATAAGTCACTGAGCTGAACCTGCTTTCTTCTTCCCTGTCCTGAAACGTATTAATCACCTCTAGGTTGTGAGCTTGGTGAACAGGAGGGCTCATCTTGTTTATTTTCACTTTTATCAGGAATTACTTTTCTATGATGTCTGCTATCCAGTGTCTGAAAACTGCTGTTATATATACATATTTTTCACTTCAGCCTTATCCTGCTGAATTCAGGTTCTACTCCTAACAAGTTCTCCTCAATGTATAGCTTTCAAATGGAAGTGACCTTCAGAAAGTTTGAGAGTTCATAGGATCCAGAAGTTTCACATATTTCCCACTGTAATTGTGCCCTGTCCTTGAAGATGAAGCCTCTCTTTATTGGAGCAGCTATTCTCAGCTTGGCTTTCCATGCTTACTAGAAGGAGCAATGGTCTCTCAAATTACATGGTAACTCTTTGTTGTAGATTTGTGAGGCTATCATGAG
Source organism: Homo sapiens (assembly GCF_000001405.40). Lineage (NCBI taxonomy): Eukaryota > Metazoa > Chordata > Mammalia > Primates > Hominidae > Homo > Homo sapiens. The sequence goes on from NC_000013.11 coordinate 86,572,320, forward strand.
TCACTTTGCCTTCCTTCCTGTTTCTGCTGAACCGTTGATAATAACCTAGGGTTCTGATTGCTTTTAGTGGTTTGACCCACATGTTTGCATCATTTGGAGTGCACTGGGGATACTTACTTGCTTAATTTTGTTATAAATGTATGTTTTACAATATTTTTTACTATAGTTGTTTAACTTGTTTTCGTTTGGAGAGGAGTTGAAGAAACTTGAGGAAATTTCAAAAACTGTGTCACAGAAGCTATCTTCAGAAGATAAAATTTCTCTTTTTCTCTCTCTTCTTGTTTTTCTCCAAATGTTCTATTTTTTTCTGAGTGTTCGAAAATAAGTTGCAGATATTTTGACACTTCAACCATGAATACATCTGCATAGATATCATAAAATAATACCATTAACATTATAACTGAAAATCAAGTATAGTTCTATAATGATAATGTTGTGTAATTAATATACAATCCATACACAAAGGTTCATAATAGTTCCAAAAATGCAACACACACAGAGAAATACAACAATTATGTTTCCCTATTCAAGAAATAATGGAAGTTGCCATTGTGTTTCCTATATCTCTTTGATCCCCTTTGACCCTTGGGAATTTCTGTTTGTCTGTCTTTATATCATTGATTCATTGGCATTATTTTTTATAGAATGTCCCACATTTTAGAATTATCTGAATGTTTTCTTATGATCCGAGTCTTTTTATACACCTTTAATAGCAGTGACTAATAATGAAGTTGTATAATTCTTACTGCCTCAAATCAGCAGACACATGATGACAGTTTGTATTCAGACGGTGTCTAATTTTCTATATGTTGCATAAACTGTGTCTTAGCTCCTTATTTTGTATGTATATTTTTTCTCTGTTATTGGAAAATAATTAATGCATTGATACTTTTAAACACTGTGAATAAGCTATGCCTCAGTATCTTTCCATTTATGCCATTAGCTTCCATTTATAATTAATACACTAATTAGTTATTGCATTGTAATTTGCAAAATGGTGGGTTTTCAGTCTTTCATTCAACATGAATTAATTGGCTCTTCTGAAAAAATAGCTTTCTGCCATTTTTCATTCTTTCTACCCCTCTTTCTTTTCTTTCTTCTCTTCTTCCATCCTTCACTCATTGCTTTCCTCTTATCTTTTTCTTGAGTATTTCTATGAGCTTATGAGTAGATATGTGAAAAATAACTAGATCATTTCCTGCTAAGTTTAAGAAAAATAATTAAATGCCCTTTATCTCTATCATTGCAATGAGAATATTGCAGTGAAACTATTAGGCCATGCAAATAGTAAACAAAACTCCATAAGGAATTCTTTTTTATCTAACAGTTAAAATCAATTTTTATAAAATTTAATATACGTCCCTTTTAGTCTCAACTTGTTTTTAATCATATCCTTTGGCTTCTCATTATTCATATCTCTACTATTTATCTAATTATTTCTACAGATATTAAAATAAAATAAAATAAGAAGCATACAGTCAGATTATAGAAGTTAATTAGGTATTAAAGCATAAAACATTTATGGATGCCACAAACAATTATGGATGTCATTAATAGAAAAGAAAGAACAAGGTTGATCATGTTGTGTATAAGTATCATAGTGAAGATAACAGGGGATGTCAGGTATCTAACTTTTATATGAAGGGTAAAATAGCCTTATAAAATAACATAAATAATATATAGCAATTAAATAACTGTGTGTTGTTAGGATGATGGAATGTACCTGTTAACAGTGACATGTAAATTATTACTGAAGAGGTTTTTGGTAAGAATAAAATGAAAACAGAGAATATCTTCACAAGAAAACAATGTTATGTTTTCACTCTTCTACAACTGGAGACTGAATTCAGAAGTATTAATACAATACAAGTTAATGCTCATAGTAATCTATGGCCATCGAAACTAACAATTGCTAGACAATGTATAGGACAATTAAGAACTATATAAAGTTTAAAACAGTACAAAGCTGAACACATTCTACTAAATATTTGCCAATAATGTAGAAAGAACTAATATACTTAAAACTAGCAATATCAATGAAAATGCATATTTTACATATAAAATATTACACACATATTAATTTTTCTCATTGTACCTTATGTGCTCATACAAAATATATAAAACTTCAAAATTTGTAGAAAAGGGAAATATCTGTTTTTCCTTAAATTGCATACTTTAATTGCCTTGTGATGTCTTTAACTTTTCTACCATCTCATTATTGTCCTAATTTAATGATAAAAAGTCCTTGGGCTTATTATAAAACTTTTGCGTCAGTATTTAGAAAAATAAATTTAAATATTATATAATAAAACTGCCCATTTCTAGAAAAACAGGACATATTACAGTTAAAATTACTTTTAAAATCTCCTTAGATTAAAAATTGTGGTAAAATACACATAAAATTTACCATCTTAACCATGTTTAAGTTAGTACATGTAGAGTTTAATAGTGTTAAGTACATTCATATTGTCATGCAACAAATTTCCAGAACTCTTTTTATTTTACAAAACTGAAACTCTATACCCATTAAACAACAACTACCTATTCTCCCCTTCGCATAGACCCTGGCAACTATTCTTCTACTTTTGGTCCTTGTGAATTTGCTTACTCTGAGTCCCTCATAAAATTGGAATCATACATGTTTGTCTTTTTGTGACACTGACTTACTTCATTTAGCATAGTATCCTCAAGGTTCATCCATGTTGTTGCATATGTAGGAATTTCCTTCCATTTTCAGGCTGAATGATACTCCTTTGTATGTATACTGCATACCACAACTTGTTGATTCATTTAACATGGTAGACTCTTTAGTTGCCTTTATCTTTTGGCTATTGTCAATAGTGCTGCCATGAATATAGGTATACAAATATCTATTCAAATATCACAGTCACCCTGTTTTCAATTATTTTGTGAAAATAACCAGAAATTACAAATTTTATTAAACTGCATCCATGCTATAAATACTAATAAAATATTTATGCAAATATAAATTTTTACATTAACTGGCTAAATTTATAAAGTTTAATAAACTCACTTTAGGCATTTGTATCTCTTGCCTATGCACATTCTTCAACTGTTTTTAATAGCTTTTATTTATTTTTCTAATGGGCACCCCAGATTTCAGAAACCCCTCACCACAGGAAACCTTTTTCATATACACATTTGAATTTATTCTTATTGTTCTTTCTTCTCCATCTAAAGTATTATATTTTCCTCTCAAACACATCTAGTTACCTATAAAATGAGTGTTAAATTATATATTAAATTTGCTCTTTAAACATAATACAGTTGGATCTTATAAACGTTTCTTGAAAATTATTGTATAATGAAAATTTAAATAAAAATGTAACCACTTCCACAATGTCAGTCTTCTTATATTTTCAAGTGCCAAGCTGTGTTTAAAGATGTTTTGTGTTTAGTTTTATTTCTTGAGAAAGAAATTGTACTGTACCCACAAATGAGCTCCAGTTAAGACAGGAGGAAATTTGTTTATTAAAGTTGGCACTAAACTAGCATAAATTATTTAGAAGTTAATGTTCTCACCTTTAATCAAGATAAAGACCCATGTGCTTTTAAAGTTATTTTACTAAGGAGTTATATTTCTTCAAAAATATATTTATTAAAAGGAAAACTTTATTATGTTTTCTAGATACAAAGCTATCCTAGATTGCTTTTATTTTATGTATTTGTTGTTTCAAGTATTTCCACCTCCTGTATAATTTGTATGAAAAAGTAATCATCCAATTTGCAATATCTCACCTAGGTCTTGGCAAAATACAATCTGTGAGGTTTCAAATTTAATTCAGTTTAACACTGTGGAAGTTTGAAGCACAATATCTAGTTTAGAAGCAATCTGGGGAGGTAGGATGAAAGAGGCTATGGGAAGCACCTGTCAGTTTTGGCATGTCTCGTGAGCATAAACCATACCAACCACTTATAAGCACTATGATGATATGCCATGAACAGCATTACATTGCATTAATCAGGAATTTTTCTAAATAGTGTTTTTCAGATTCACCAAAACTATAAGGGTGGTCACTCCGATGATACTTTTTAACTTTGAAAACATACTTACACATTTATGTTTGAAAGGTGCATGTTCATAAATTATTTATATGCATTTAAAATAATGTTTGATATGTTGCTCATAAAAAAGAAGAAAAGCAAACAAAAACAAAAACAAAACAAAAAAAACAACCCATGCAAATCCAGTTATACTCACTGAGATAAAAAATATCTGGCTACTTCGGAAGCTGAGGAAGAAGGATCCCTTGAGCCCTGGAATTTCAGGCTGCAGTGAGCTATGACAAGGACACTACTGCACACCTTCCTGGGCAATTGAATGAGACCGTGTGTAAAAAAAAAATCTATTTATCTGTCTATCATCTTATATCTATCTAACAAGTGGGAAACAAAGGTCCTCCAATATCCTAGCAGACCTACAAATGTTTGTAATTATTTAATTGTTTGGGACTGTGGGTATCCAGGTTTCTTGCCAATCATGGCTGTTGGCACAATCCAGTATTACCCAACCAGACTATGAAGGAATTCTACTGTGCCTCCTGGCCCCTGGGCTTTCTGCAGGTTGACATCCCATTCTCTGGATGACAGGTGCTCTAGAACTTATTGGGTAGTCTTCTGCAAGACTCAAACCTGTAGCTATCATATCATTCACATAATGCTCCCAGTGAATGCTGTATATATCACTCAAAACAGCCAGGTCCCCCAGCCACCAACTATGGGAGATAGTGGGACGATGTAAGTACATCTGAAGGAGTGCCTGATTCATTGTTGACCCTCCAAAGTGAGGGCAAACATATCCTGGAAGTTTGGGTCTAAGGGTATGCTAAAGAAAGCATTTGCTGAATCGGGACAGTATGCGAACTACCTAACCAAGTAGTCGGCCTTTCTAAAATTTGAGTCACATTTGGGACAGCAGCTTGTATGGCGAAGGTCATCTCGTTTAGTTGCTGGAAATCAACTATCGTCCTCCAGGTGCCATCAGGCTTTGTTACCAACCATGCAGTGATGCTGTATGGGCTCTGTGCAGGATGCACAATGCCCACCTTCTCCAGTTTCTGAATAGTAGCCTCTATCTCAGTGCCCTCCTGGAAGACGTTATATATACACCACTAGTCCAGAGGAGGGTAACACCACTGGCTTCCATTTAACTTCCCTTTGGAGCAAGCCTTCTGTCATTCTAACCCAGAGATGGAATTTGCCTACTGCAAATTGTTTCAAAGGAAGCTCCCAGGAAAGTATCTATCCCCTACATGTTTCCTGGGATTGGGGAGATGTTGGCCCATTGTAGGGTGGGTGGAGCATGCCTAATTTGCAACAATAAATGTGTTCATCTCACAGGACTGGCTGAATCTCTGTATCCATCTATATAAACTAGATGTCCAGAAAATTTGTGAGGATTACCATGTATTGGAGTATATGCAGCTAAGTATCTACCAGAGCCTAAACTCTTTGTTTCAAGGGGACCAATGAATCACTATTTCCACATGGGGCCTTTGGTCTCCCTGAATGACCCTACCTTGAGGGGAGCTTTGCCCTTCCTGTCACAGTAGGGGCCACGGTGCTCACCTCCCCTCATCTTCAGTTTCTTCGAGACAGTCTGGAGGTTTAGGATTAACCCTAGTGGTGTACTCTGCTGTCCTGGCATGAAGAATTTCCAGTCTAAGGAGAGATACATTGGGTTGTCTATTTTCCTTTTCTCCATAACTACCTTCAGAAGATGTTGCCACATTTAATTCCTCAATACCCATTTTGCTATATCTCTTTACTTTCCCTCCCTCCCTCCTCCCTCCCCTCCCCTCCTCCCTTCCTCCCTCCCTCCCTTCCTTCCTTCCTCCATTTTTTCTTCCTTCTTTCCTTCCCTCCTTTTTTTTTCTGTTTCTCCACTGCCAGCAGGTAGGTGTGGAGTTAGGTTTCAACATTTGAATTTTGGGGGGACACAAACAATAGCATCAAACACAAAAAATACTAATCATTTATAATTCTTATTAAAGAGCTGCTTGTAATTTTTAATTTGTAAAGGCAAGTAGATTTTCCTTGTTTTTGTTAATTATCCAAGGATATGATTTAATATTATCTCCCTTATTATGTAGCTTGCTTCTTGCTTCATGAACCTTGTTACAAATCACAAATATTCCTAATATTTTATTATGCTCTTACTCAAAATATATGCTGTAAGAACCAAAACTATACGTAATTTATAGAAACACACATATATATATATTATATGTGTTTTGTTCCAATACATTAAAAAAAATCTTATGGATTTGACATTGGGAAATATTCTAGATGGCCTGCTGTAGGATTTTTCTTGCTATGCCGAAATCAGTGTCAAAGACACTGAATGCTATGACTTGTGTTCCAGATATATGTAGAAATGAGAGTCCATTTTGAAAAGCCATCTGATAAAACATGTTGCTCATAATTTACCTTGTAAATTACATTGTAGTACCTTCCCAGCATTAGTAAATTAGAACCTTAATCACAACCTGACAATACTGCCTGTTTAAATTTGCATATCAAATGAATCTTCAACAAAAGAGATTAACCATCTTTCTTTTTCCAAAATAGAATCAAATACAGGGTTAGCATAACAATATTATTTTTAAATGCCTTTCAAGTACAAAATATAACATTTAAAAACAAATAGTTTGTCAGAGTGAATAGTCATATATACCTTAAGTGAAACAAAATAAAAATGAGCAAAATATAGACCATTTATTTGTAGTAAGGCTTCTAGTTTTTTTCATCTTATTTTAACTTACACATTTAAAAACAAGGTCTAGTATTTATTTTCACAACATTATTATTGAGACCAATTAATTTTTTCTTCCTTCCTTTACTTCCAACCATGTATTTATGCCTATTCTTTTTCCGACTATTACAAATAATATTGTATTTTATGTTTTGAATTTTTTCATCAATACCTTTTCAAACAAATTTTAAATATAAATTGATTGTTCAGAAATAGCCACTAGATATTAAGAATTTTTCTACATGCACTGTTTGCTTCCATCCTATAATCACCCACTTACATAATCCTTGAACATTTTTTATTTTAATTCTGGGCGATTCCATAGTGCAAGAAGCATTTATTTTTTCCATTTTTAATAGAATATTTTGTATGTTGATTTTATTCTTCTTGTAGTTATTTTCAGTTTCATTAAAAGGTTCTATAATAAATCAGTATTGCTTTTACTTTATTAATTGGTACTCTAAAAAATGATTACAAAATGAACAATTGTTTAGATTCTTGGAACACAATCCAACCTTTGCACTCTAAAATTTAAACACCATAAACTTCCAAATAATAGTCTAGTACAGATAATCGCTAGAAACATTACACACTGACTACCTCTAAAAATAGCAGTATTTTTCAAGTTTTCATCCAAAATGTTGGAAAATATTGGTTACTTGACTACACACTGCTATATTTTACCCTATTAAATTTTCATGAGCTCACATAATACAAAGTGCTGACTACATGCATGGCCACACACTTCCTCTTCTCATAGAACCAAATGTATATGGCATTTACTAAACAGATTCAAAAGTGGCATGGTATGTTTCAACAACACCAGCTCCTTCAAGAGTGCTAAATGAAGAAAGTGCTAGCACATGACAATTTAGAGAAGTAATAGACTTTCAAATTATCTAGTGTACAGATTGCATGACGTTTTAAAGACAAGAGCTTTATTCTGTCCTTATTGGATTAAGCGCTTATTAGTGAAAATACCTCTTGAGATGCTTGAGAGGCAATAGAGAATTCGAAAGCACTGTAGCATCACAGTTGGGAAATTGGGCATTGGATTTCAACCAGTAGTTTTACCTGGCTCTACTTTTTATAAGCTATTTCACTGTGAAAAAGTTATTTAACCGTTACCTGGCCTTATTTTTTTCTCATCTATATAATATAAGAGATAATTTTGAATCCCTTAGAGTTTGGTTGTGGGGATTAATTAAAATATTTTAAGAAGTAAATATTTTAAAAAATGCTTAGAGTTTCTGAACTGCAGTTTGAGATTCTACATATAAAGAGGGGGATCTTTTAATATTTTTGCTTATTGTAAGCAAGAGCTGAACAAACAAATATCCTTCCTCAACAAGACCTCCAAACTTTTACCAGAGTAACTGTGCATTGCAAAAAGAGGAATAATCAGACTTTTGGGGAATGAATGGACACTGGCTCAGAGGTGATATTGACTCCAGGGAACCCCAAACATCATTGTGGTCCTCCAGTTAAAGTAGGGGTTTATGGAAGTCAGGTAATTAATGGAGTGTTTGCTCAGGTCTGATTTACAGTGGGTCCATCCTGTGGTCATTTCCCCAGTTCCAGAATGCATAATTGGCATAGACATTACTTAGTAGTTGGCAGAACTCCCACATTAGCTGCCGGATTGGTAAGGGAGGGGTATTACAGTGGGAAAGGCCAAATCGAAGCCTCTACCTAGAAAAATAGTAAATCATAAACAATATTGCATCCCTGGAGGGATTGCAGAGATTTGTGCCATCATCAAGGAGTTGAAAGATTCAGGGGTGGTGATTCCCACCAGATGCCCATTCAACTCTCCCAATGGGCCTGTGCAGAAGACAGATGAATCCTGAAGAATGAGAGTGGATTATCATAAGCTTAACCAAGTTGTGACTTTAATTGTAGCTACTGTACCGGATGTGGTTACATTGCTTGAGCAAATAAACAAATCTCCTGGTTTTTAGTATGCAGCCATTGATTTGGCAAATTGCCTTTTTCTCCATTTCTGTGCATAAGGCCCACCAGAAGCAATTTGCCTTTAGGCAAATTGGACCTTTACTGTCCTACCTCAGGGGTATATCAACTCTCCAGCTTTGTGTCATAATCTTGTTCAAAGAGACTTTGATTGCTTTTCGCTTCCACAAGATAGCACACAGGTCCATTACATTGATGACAGTATGCTAATTGATTGGATCCACTAAGCAAGAAGTAGCATTGGTGAGACATTTGCATGCCAGGGGATGGGAAACAAATTCAACTAAAATTCAGAGAACTTCTACCTGAGTAAAATTCCTAAGGGTCCAGTGGTATGGGGCCTGTTGAGATATTCCTTCTAAGGTGAAAGATAAATTGCTTCATTTGGCCCCTCCTGCCCCAAGAAAGAGACACAATGCCTAGTGTGCCTATTTTGATTTTGGAAGCAACATATTCTTTATTTGGGTGTGTCACTCCAGCCCATTTACTGAGTGACCCAAAAGGCTGCCAGTTTTGAGTGGGGTCCAGAACAGGAGAAGGCTCTGCAACAGTTCCAGACTACTGTGCAAGATGCTCTGCCACTTGGGCCATATAACCAGCAGATCCAATGGTGCTTGAGGTGTCAGTGGCAGATAGGTATGCTGTTTGGAACCTTTGGCAGACCCCATAGGTGCATCACAGTGGAGGCCTCCAGAATATTGGAGCAAGGCCCTGCCATCTTCTGCAGATAACTACTCTCCTTTTGAGAGAGCTCTTGGCCTGTTACTGGGCTTTGGTAGAAACTGAACATTTGACTATGAGTCACCAAATAACCATGCTACTTGAACTACCTATCATAAACTGGGTGCTTTCTGACTCATCTAGCCATAAAGCGGGTCATGCACAGCAGCATTCCGTCATCAAATGGAAGTGATATATATGGCACTGGGCTTGAAAAGGTCCTGAAGGTACAAGTAAGTTACATGAGGAAGTGGCTCAAATGCCCATGGTCCCCACTCTTGCCACCCTGCCTTCTTTCCCCCAGCCTGCATCAATGGCCTCATGGGGAGTTCCCTATGATCAGTTGACAGAGGAAGAGAAGACTAGGGCCTGGTTCACAGATGGTTCTGCATGATATGCAGGCACCACCCAAAAGTAGACAGCTGCAGCACTACAGCCCCTTTCTAGGACATCCTTGAAGGACAGTGGCAAACGGAAATTTTCCCAGTGGGCAGAACTTCAAAAAGTGCACCTGGTTATTCATTTTCCTTGGAAAAAGAAATCGCCAGATGTGCAATTATATACTGATTCATGGGCTGTAGCCACTAGATTGGCTGGATGGTCAGGGACTTGGATGAAGCATGATTGGAAAATTTGAGACAAAAATTTGGGGAAGAGGTATGTGGATGAATTTCTTACAGTGGTCAAAACTGTGAAGATATTTGTATCTCATATGAGTGCTCACCAAAGGGTGATCTCAGCATAGGAGGATCTTACTAATCAAGTAGATAGGATGACTCATTCTGTGGACACCACTCAGCCTCCTTCCCCAGCCATTCCTGTCATTGCCCAATGGGACCATGAACAAAGTGGCCATGGTGGCAGGGATGGAGGTTACGCATGGGCTCAGCAACATGGACTTCCACCAACCAAGGTTGACCTGGCTACGGCCACCACTGAGTGCCCAATTTGCCAGCAGCAGATACCAACACTGAGCCCTTGATATGGCACCATTCCTCGGGGTAATCAACTGGCTACTTGGTGGCAGGTTAATTATATTGGACCTCTTTCATCATGGAAAGGGCAGTGGTTTGTCCTGACTGAAATAGACACTTAATCCAGATAGAGGTTGCTTATCCTTCACACAATGCTTCTACCAAGACTACCATCAGTGGACTCACAAAATGCCTTATCCACCTTCATGGTGTTCCATGTAGCATTGCCTCTGACCAAGGCACTCACTTTAGCTAAAGAAGTGTGTCAGTGGGCTCATGCTGATGGAATTTACTGGTCTTCCCATGTTCTCCATTCATTCTGAAGCAGCTAGATTGATAGAATGTGGAATGGCCTTTTGAAATCACAATTATAACACTAACTAAGTGACAATACTTTGCAGGGTTGGGAAAAAAAGTTATCCATAAGGCTGTGTATGCTCTGAATCAGTGTCCAATATATGGTACTGTTTCTCCCATAGCCAGGATTCACAGGTCGAGGAATCAAGGTGTGGTAGTGGAGCCAGCATCACTCACTATCACCCCTAGTGACCCACTAGCAAAATTTTTGCTTCCTATTTTCACATTATGTTCTGCTGGCCTAGAGGTCTTAGTTCCAGAGAGAGTAGTGCTGCCACCAGGAGACACAACAACGATTACATTAAACTGAAAGTTAAGATTTCCACTCAGCCATTTTGGGCTCCTCCTGCTTCGAAGTCAACAGGCTAAGAAGGGAGTTACAGTGTTGCCTGTGGTGATTGAACCAGACTATCAGGAGGCAATCAGTATATTACTTCACAAGGGAGGCAAGGAGGAGTATGCATGGAATACAGGAGATCTTTTAGGCCATCTTTTAGTATTGCCATGCCCTGTGATTAAGGTCAATGGGAAACTACAATAGCCCAATCCAGGCAGGACCACAAATGGCCCAGACCCTTCAGGCATGAAGGCTTGGGTCACTTCGCCAGGTAAAAAACCACTACCTGCTGAGGTGCTTGCTGAAGGCAAGGGGACTACAGAATGAGGAGCAGAAGAAGGTAGACATCAATACCAGCTATGACCACATGACCAGTTGCAGAAATGAGGACTAAAATTGTCATATTTCCTCCTCCTTTTGTTAAGAACATGTTTGTGCATGTATAGACTTGTACTAAAAATGTATCTTCATTTTTATTTCCTTTTTCCTTTATCGTGTGATATAAGATTTATTGACTTTGTATCAGTATTTAAATGTTTTTAAATGTATGTAATGGCATTTGTGTTGGGAATTGGTGCACTTTCGGGTTGTACAAAGGATAGCTGTATTATGTTAGGCATACTTGTGACTTATTATTGTCTTTATTTGAAGATTATGTATGATTTCAGGAGATGTGTATGGGTTCAAGTTTACAAGCCATGGACTTGTGATGGTTAATACTGAGTGTCAGCCTGACTGGATTAAAGGATGCAAGGTATTGTTCCTGGGCGTGTTTGTGAGGGTATTGACAAAGCACACTAATGTTCGAGTCAGTGGACTGGGAAAGGCAAACCCAGCCTCAATCTGGGTGGGCACCATCTAGTAAGCTGCCAGCATGGCTAGGATAAAAGCGAGCAGAGGAACATGGAAGGACTAAACTGGCTGAGTCTTTCAGCCTTCATTTTTCGCCCATGCTGGATGCTTCCTGACCGTGAACATCAGACTCCAAGTTCTTCAGCTTTTGGACTCTTGGACTTATACCAGTGGTTTTTCAAGGGCTCTCGAGCCTTTGGCCACAGAATGAAAGCTGCACTGTTGACTTCCCTACTTTTGAGGTTTCGGAACTCGGACTGGCTTCCTTGCTCCTCCGATTGTAGCCAGCCTATTGTGGGACTTGACCTTGTGATCATGTGAGTCAGTACTCCTTAATAAATTCCCCTTTATATATACATCTATCCTATTAGTCCTGTCCCTGACTAATACATGGGGATTAATTAAAATATTTTAAGAAGTAAATCTTGTTAAAAACGCTTGGAGTTTCTGGACTCCAGTTTCAGGTCCCACATATAAAGGGCTGAACAGAACTTTTTTTACTCCTGCTTATTGTAAGCAAAATCTGAACAAACTGAATATCAATGATGTTCTTCTACCCAGGAGAAAATTAAGGACACAGGCACAAACTACCATCCAAAAATCTGGAGACACACAAATCTAAAAAGTCACAGCTAAGTTCTGTTTTCATGGGACAGAATTTCCAGAATCATAACCAAGAACACTTAAATGGTAATTTTGATCAAATGCTGAAGGGTAATTGTGAAGGATGGTCAGAGTGAGAAGCTCCTTAGGCATGGAGTCCTAGAAGGTCTCCACACAGTTGTGTGTTCTACCTCTGATCCCCCACCAGTTTGTGGCATTGAAGAACTAATAAAAATTGCATCTTGACTACTGAGTTTGGGAAGTGGCAGACTTGTCACTGTGAAATATTATGAGAGCATTGTTCATTTAAAGGTGTGCTCTACAGGGGAAAATACATTACCTGAGTCTTATCTGACTTGAGGGTAGGGTATTCTCCTACAGGTATCCTATAGTTTTCCAGTATCACATAAGGGGGAGAAAATTTTTAAAAGGTATATAATTGATATGATTTGGCTCTGTGTTCCCCCCCAAATCTCATGTTGAATTGTAATCTCCAGTTTTGGAGGCAGAGCCTGGTGGGTGGTGATTTGATCATGGGGGTGGTTTCTAACGATTTAGCACTATCCCCCTAGTTCTGTCTCATGATAGAGCTATAATGAGATTGGGTTGTTTGAAGGTATGAAGCATCTCCCTTTCTCCCTCTCTTCCTCCTGCTCCAGCCACGTAAGACATGCCAGCTTCTCTTTCCACCATGATTATGAGTTTCCTGAGGACATACCAGCCATGCTTCTTATACAGCCTGTGGAACTGTGAGTCAATTAAAGCTCTTTTCTTTATAAAAACCCAGAGTTAGGTAGTTCTTTATAGCAATATAAAAATGAACTAATATAGAAAATTGGTACCAGGAAAGTGCGGCATTACTATAAAGACATCTGCAAATGTGGAACTGACTTTGGACAAAGGTTGGAACAGTTTTGAGGGCTCAGTAAAAGACAAGGAGATGAGGGAAAGTTTTTAACTTCCTAAAGACTTGTTAAATTGTTGTGACCAAAATGATAATAGTTATATGTACAATGAAGTCCGGGCTGAAGTGCTCCCAGATGGAGATGAGAAACATATCGGGAACTGGAGTAAAGGTCAGTCTTGCTGTGCTTCAGCAAAGAGACTCTTGGCACTGTGCCCCTGCTCCAGAGATCTGCATAACTTTAAACTTGCAACATATGATTTAGGGTATCTGGCAGGAGAAACTTCTTGTAGCAAAGCATTCAAGATATTCCCTGGCTGCTTCTGACATTATATACTCATATGTGTTGTGCAAAGATATTATTTGAAACAGAACTTACATTTAAAAGGGAAGCAGAGCATGAAAATTTAAAAAATGTATCCTGACCATGTGGTAGAAAAGGAAAACCCATTTTCTGGGGAAGAATTCAAGCCTACTACAGAAATTTGCATAAATAAAGATAAGCTGAATATCCAAGACAATGAGGAAAATACAGCCAAGGTATTTCAGAGACCTTTGTGACAGCTCCTACCATCACAAGTCCAGTGGCCTAGAGGGAAAAAATGGTTTCCTGGGCCAGGCCCAGGGCTCCACCGCTTTGTGCAGCCTCAGGACATGGCATTCTGCATCCCAGCCACTCCAGCTCCAGCCATGGCTAAAAGGGCCCTGGATACATCTCAGACCACTGCTCCAGAGAGTACAAGCCACAAGCCTTGGTGGCTTCCATGTGGTGTTAAATCTGTGATTACACAAAGGGCAAGAGTTAAAGTTAGGAAGCCTCTGCCTAGATTTCAGAGGATGAAAACACCTGGATGTCCAGGCAGGAGTCTGCTGCAGGGGTAGAGCCCTCATGGAGAACCTCTACTAGGGCAGTGCACAGAAGAAATGTGGAGACCCCACACAGAGTCCCCCTGGGACACTGCCTATGGGAGCTGTGAGAAGTGTGCCACCATCCTCCAGACCCCAGAATAATAGATCCACCAACAGCTTTCATTGTGCACCTGGAAAAGCCGTAGGTACTCAACACCAGCCTGTGAAAGCAGCCATGGGGCCTGAACCATGCAGAGCTACAGGCACAAAGCTGCCCAAGTCCTTGGGAAATTACCTCTTGTATTGATGTGGTCAGAGGATGTGAGACATAGCGTCAAAAGAGATTATTTTGGAGCTTTGAGATTTAGTGATGGTCCTGCTGGGTTTTGGACTTGCATAGGGACCGTAGCCCCTTCATATTGGCCGATTTCTCTCTTTTGGAATGGAAGCATTTGTGCAATGTTTCTATTTCCATTGTCTCATGTAGGTAACTCACTTGTTCATGATTTTACAGGCTCATAGGTGGAAGGGACTTGCCTTGTCTCAGATGAGACTTTAGACTTGGATTTTTGAGTTAATGCTAGAATGAGTTAAGATTCGGGGGTCTATTAGGAAGGCGTGATTGTGTTTTGCAATGTGAGAAGACATGAGATTTGGGAGAGGCCAGGGGCAGAATGACATGGTTTGGCTCTGTGTCCCCACCCAAATCCCATGTTGAATTGTAATATTCATTGTTAAAGGTGGAGCCTGGTGGGAGGTGATTGGATGATAGGGGTGGTTTTTAATGGTTTAGTACTATTCTCCTAGTATTAACTCATGATAGAGATATCATGAGATCTGGTTGTTTGAAAGTGTGTAGGATCTTCCCTTTTGCTCTCTCTTCCTCCTTCTCCAGCTATGAAGGACATGCTGGCTTCCCCTTTACCTTCTGCCATAATTGTAAGTTTCCTATGGTCTTGCCAGCCATGCTTCCTGTACAGTCTGTGGAATTGTGAGTCAATTAAACCTTTTTTCTTTATAAATTACCCAGTCTTAATTAGTTATTTATAGCAATGAGAGAAAGGACTAATCCAATAATACACTCCCTTGATACCTTACCACCACAGCAATAGGGCTCCAATATAATAATAGTAAATTACCATGAAAGAGCTGTAAGATGCAGATACAGGGGTGCTTTGAAAAGCTCTAAGTCAATAAGGAAAAGAAAAACATAGTATAAAAATATGAAGCCTCTGGAATCTATGTATAGCAAACATTAAATGCAGTCCAACTTTTAGCCAAACAAACATAAAACCTCTGTCCAAAAGGCTATTTACCTCAATTCCTATTTTCCAATATATTATTTCTAGCTTTCAACAACATAAAATTATAGATTATGGTAAAATGGAGTGCAAAACATAGTTTGAAGAGACAAAGCAAGCATCAGAATCAGACTCAGATATGACACAGATGTAGAAATTAAGGAAGAAAATTTAAAATAAGTATGATAAATAACAAATGGAAAATGCAGAAAACATGAAAGAACAAATGGCTAGTTAAAGAAAAGAGATAGAAACCTGTTAGAAAGCACATAAGGAAATGCCAGAAATCATAAAGCACTCTGACAGCATGAAGAATGCCTTTGTTGGGGTCACCAGTAGACTTGAGCTGCCCATGGAAAAAATAAGTCAGCTTGGCGATTGGTCCATAGAAACTTGCCAAATTTAAGTGAAAAAAATGATATAATAATAATAACAACAGTAATTTTAATCAGAATAGAATATCCATAAACTGTAATAAAGTTTTAAAATGTGCAACTTATGCAAAATGGTAACGACACAAGAGAAAAAAGAGACAAAGGGCAGAATAACTATTTGAATTAATAATTGTTTAAAATTTGCCCAAACTAATGACAAGCACAAAACTACAGATCACAGGCCCATAGAACCCTTAGAATACATACAAAGCAAACTGCACCTAAGGCATATCATATTCAAAATGCAGAAAATTAAATATAAAGAGAAAATCTGGATCAAAGCCAGAGTTAACAAACAAAAACACCTTATCTATAGGGGTACATGCAGAGGAATTACAGTGAAAATTTCATTGGAAACAATGCAAGAAAGAAAAGTGTGGACAGAAATCTTTAGGCTTTATGTCCTATTTCCAGTGAACTTTTATTCTTAGAAGTAAAGGAAAAGTTAAGAAGTTCAGTCAAACAAAAGCCTAGGGAAGTCAGTACCATTTGATGGGGGCAGTTGGAAATAGTATAGCCACTTTGATGGGACAGAGTTTGCCAGTTTTTTTATAAATCTAAGTTTTGATTACTAGGTTTAAAGTTATGCTCTGATTAAGAAAACAACAAATTAAAAAAAATCAACCTAACTATATGGTAGGTTTTAACACCGTTCTCCCTTAAGCCAACTGGAAGAGCCAATAAAAGCCTGGGACAATTTGAGCATCAAAACAAAAACCTGAGCTGGGCGTGGTGGCTCACGCTTGTAATCCCAGCCCTTTAGAAGGCCGAGACAGGCGGATTGCCCGAGCTATGGAGTTCGAGACCAGCCTGGGCAACACGGTGAAACCCCGTCTCCACTAAAATACAAAAAAAAAAAAAAAAATTAACCAGGCATGGCGGCATGCTCCTGTAATCCCAGCTACTCAAGAGGCTCAGACAGGAGAATCACTTGAACCAGGGAGGTGAAGACTGCAGTGAGCCAAGATCGCACCACTGCACTCCAGCCTGGCAACAGAGTGAGACTCCGTCTCAAAACAAGCAAAACAAAACAAAACAAAACAAACAAAGCAACAACAACAAAAAACTGTTGGATTTTATCCCAAAGTTTAAAATGAATACCATGATATTATAGATACTAAAATTTCAGATGCATGTCTCAGATTCAATTAGAGATATTTTCTTTCTTTCAAATAAATGTGTGTTCTTGAGTAAACAAGTGTAATTTAATTAAAATTAACAGATTACAAATATACATAGCACTATCAAGAATGGGAAAGCACGAGAATTAGTTTAAATAGCATCATGTTTTCTGAATAATTAATAAGATCATCTTATAAAATAAAATGCCACTGATAAGCTTTTGAAATAACTTATTCTCACAATTTTCTTCAGATTACACATAGTATACCTGCTAAATGGAGTTCTCAAAGCTTCCATAAACAACTTATATTAATTTTTAAGAAAACAGGTTCCATCAGGTATCATATAAAGCATTAAATATTTACTTTTAAATAAAAAGTTACAAAGTAATTATTAGAGCAGTTTGATTACTGAAAAACTGGACAAGGGAAAGAAAATACAAGGTAATTTTATATTACTTCAACTTCGTCATTTAGGCATTTATCTGTCAATATTTAAAAAGTTTTTTAATAAAATGCATATATAAATTCAACTTTGCTTTTCAAAACTATGGCATACTTACTTGATGGAATTAAATATTGAAAGAAAAAATACTTGCCACAGTATAATATTCTTGAAGAAAAATAAGAAACTACTGTGCTTTGAAAAAACTACTGATGAATATCTATTCAACTACAACGCCTAAATCATGCTGAAAATTGTAAGAAATGTTGAAGATTCACAACCTTGCGTTTCAGGCAACAGGATGTGAAAAGGAGAATAGAATTTGCACTTGTCTTGGATTCAATATCTCAAGTAGTACAGAAAATCTATTGCTAAGAAAACAAGACAGTGAGACTAAAAATGATATCTGTAAATAGTTTAGAGAATAAAAATTGTAGAATCCAGTAAATCTCAACTCCTTCCACCTGGGTAAAGGTCTTATTTTTCTTAAGGATATTTTGAAATATTAGACAGTATTCAATTTTTCAATTTACCTTAATCTTTTTCAAGTTCAAATATAGTAAAGGAAGATATTAAGCATCATGAAATGAGACCAGTAAAAAGAAAAATAGTTTCATGCTAAATTTACGGCATTTACTACGGCTTTTGCACAAGATAAATTCCAAAATCTGAGGGAAATTGGTGTGTATTTAGAACTACAAAAAATAAATAAACAAAATAGATTTAGAATGCTGTATGTTTTACAATTTGTGATCAGAGTAGCTTTTATTAACTAAAAGATATATACATTGCACTATTATTCAATAACATATTCAAAGTGGTGAAACTGGCTCAAATTCACTAAAAATTCAGTGTGAAATGTTTAAAAATTATTACAATAACTTCTTGCAAGTTTATTCTACTTTCTTATTGCCTAATGTAATATATTAATACTTTAAATATTCATGTAAGATTATGCTGTTAAATATATCAGTAAGCACACTTTCTATAATATATTTCAGTGCAGCCAAATATGAGGCTTCTTTGATGATAATATGTATATGTTGCACATAATTTTCAAGGCATTCTCAGGAATCATTAATACAAAATTTTGTTTTACTGTGTCTCTTTCTATTGCATATATTATAAAAACATCAAAAACATGACAAGAAGACAGGAGAAAGAACTGTAGTGAATATTTGGAAATATAAGCTATAATTATTACCAAAATGTAATGAGTAAGTAGAAAATAGCAAAAGTAAAATTAAGAGCGGCATAGAATACAGGATTAAGATGGCAGAAAGTAAACACTTCTCCCTGAGATCTAACCTAAAATTTAAAGGAATATCAGGCAGCAATTTACAAACTAATAAATTCATCAACATAGGAATAAAACCATTTAAACAAGAATGTCAGAAAGGCTAAAATGTTAGAAATTCATAGAAATATTTTAAGTCTTTACATTAGCAAAATAATGACAATTTTTGAGAAAACAATATTTCAGAAGAATTATAAGTGGAAAGCCAAATTAAGTCACTTATAGACCCAAATCAGGGTGATCTGAGTAGGAAAATACATTTTGACATCTAAATCATGTTGTTCATGATATTATTACCTCAGATTTTTTCCCCATCAAGTGATTTGTTTTAAAATTATCTAGTTAACTTAATTGAAGCTACAGAGCAATAAGTACAATAAACATGCTGCAATTTCATGCAAGAAAGATTAATCTTCATATATTTTATTCAAAGAAATAAATCCTATAGAAGAGATTACATCTCATATAATTTCATCTATATTTTTAAATGTACATGAAATGCATGCAAAATATTCATAGGAGAATTATACCTATAGCCTCAAGCACTAAACGGGGCAATGATTTCCAGGTTGATTTTTAGATTTGATATTAATCCAGTAGATTTTTCAAGAGAAATTTTTGTGGAATCTGGTAAGGCCAATCTAATATTTATATGAAAATGCAAAGAAACCCTGATACCCAGAAACACTATCAAGGAGAGCAACAATTAGAATGTCTTACAGCAACCAAAAACTTAGAGGAAAAAGAACACTAGTATGAAGAAACAGAAATTATGTCATTGTGATATTGTGCAAGGATTTGAAACTTAGCCAATGGAAATGATACATGCATATAGGAACCTGTTATTTTTGACAAGTTGGGGCTGGAAATTAGTGAAAAGATGAAAAAATTCTGTAGTGAATTGTGTAGAGTTGATTGAGTGATCAAAGTAGGATAAAAGTTGTTGACTGAAATTAAAATTATTGAGGCAGAAATAATTTGATAGGGGTTTATTGAAAGCCAAGTTTGAAGATTGACTCTGGAACACACATCATCAAAGCTAGGTATGTTATAACCTCTGTTAAAAGCTGAAATATTTTTATGAAAAATAAAAATATTTATGAAAAAGTTTAGGAGAAGGGTGAAGGACTGCTCATATCAATGTTGTCCTTTTTTATTGGAGGTTATAATATAGAGGTTAAGGGCAAGGAAATACATTCACACAACATCTATTTACTGTAGAAGACAACAGGTAAGCTAAAATGTTTTGTGCACAAGACAATTAGTATAACTTTATAATTTGGAAATAAATTAGTCCCATTTTAAGTGTTGGTAGATATGTATTAATTAGTAGGTGTATTAGTCCATTTTCATGCTGCTATAAAGATACTATCTGAGACTGGTTAGTTTATAAAGAAAAAAGAAGGTTTAATTAACTCAGTTCTGCATGGATAGGAGGCCTCAGGAAACTTACAGTCACGGCAGAAGGTAAAGGGGAAGCAGGCATCTCCTTCACAAGGCGACAGGAGAGAGAGAGAGTGTGAAAGGGAAACTGCCACTTTTAAAACCATCAGATCTCATGAGAACTTCTTCACTATCATGATAACAGCATGGGGCAAACACCCCCATAAGCCAATTACCTCCCACCAGGACCCTCCCCTGACATGTTGGGATTATAATTTGAGATGAAATTTGGATGGGGACACACGGCCAAACCATATCAGTATATCAATAGTTTGAGAAACTCATGATAAAATTGTGAAGATTCATTAAGAATTTGTATTTAAGCACAGGATGTAAGCCATGATATATGACCACTTCTAGGCAGTCAAAATATAGTTTTTTTCTTTACATGTAGGGATGCATGCCTTAACATTTGTCTGACATAGCTTCAGATCCTGTTTATTATTCAGTATCTGATTGTCACAATGAGTCTTTTTCTTCTGCCTTATGATCTCTCTTTTAGCATTACTGCTGGTCAGTTGCGTCTAAACGGTGAAAGGGAGGGATATAATGAGTCATGTCTGACCTCTGGTCCTGTTATGGCTGGGATCTCTGTTTTTAAGGCTTCTCTGGGGTCCCCTTGGCCAAGAGGTGATCTGTTCAATGGTGGGGGTCTTAGAAGCTTATTTTTAGTTTACAAAGGACAACATGACCAATTCCTCATCCCATAAACAAAATTAGTTCCTGGTATATAAAAATGTAAAAGATGAAACAATAAAGACAGTAGAAGTTCATACAGAAAAATCTTCATTATTTTGCCATTTGGCCACATTTTCTGAATAGGTCAAATAAAACAACAGCTATCAAATATGAAGAATTATTTTTTTTATTAACAGAAACCATTAAAATAGTGACAATATAACATGTAATGTCTGTGAATGACTGGAAATGTTAAAGGGTTGAAGTTTAAAAAATATAAAATAATCAAAAAATAGGAAAAATAAAAAGAGAGGACTTAAAGTGGTACTAAAATTTTAAAATATAAAATGACAAACGAGCACAAGAATTTTAAAAATCCAAAATTTATGTCATGAAAGAAATAAGTTATGTTATAGGTAGCAAAAATGTCATAGTATTGTGATAGTTAATTTAATGTGTCCCCTTGTCTAGGCTATGATGCCTACTTGTTTGATCAAATCCTACTCGTAGTAAATAGATTATTGACTTTAAGTAAATATATTAAATGACATTTTTTGGATAGACCTCATCCAATCAGTTAAAAGTCTTCAGAGCAAAATTGAGGTTTCCCAGAGAAGGGGGCAATCTGCCACAAGACTGTAAAATAGACATTTGAATTTCCAACCTGTTGTTCTCCCCCACAGATTATGGATTTTCCCACCACATAGTCATGTATGCCAAATCCTTAAAATCTCTTTCCCTCTATATAATTTTATTTTAAAAATTTAATGTGGAAAATTTTATTTCCACATGGTCACATGTCAAAGAAGACAGAAACAAATGGAAAAGCATTCCATCCTCATGACTATGAAAAATCAATTTCATTAAAATGGCCATACTGCTGAAAGCAACATACAGATTCAATGCTATTCTTACCAATGACATTCTTCACGAAACTATAAAAAACTATTTTAAGGATCATATGAAACACACAAACAAACAAACAAAAAGCCTGAATACCCAAGGCAATCCTAAGCAAAAATAGCAAAGCTGGAGGCATTGTGTTACCTGACTTCAAACTATACTATAGGGCTACAGAAACCAAAACAGTATGGTACTGGTACAATAACAGACACATAGACCAATGGAACAGAATAGAGAGCCCAGAAATAAGGCCACACACCTATGACCATCTGACCTTTGACAAAGCTGACACAAAAAAGCAATGGGAAAAAGAATTCCTATTTAGTAAATGGTGCTGGGATAACTGGTTAGCCATATGCAGAATATTGAAATTGGATCCCTTTATTACACCATGTACAAAAATCAACTTAGGATGGATTAAAGACTTAAATGTAAAACCCAAAACTATAAAAACCCTGGAAGAAAATCTAGGCAATACCACTCAGGACATAGACACGGGCAAAGATTTCACGACAAAGACACTAAAAACATGTCAACAAAAACAAAAATTGACAAATGAAATCCAATTAAACTTTAGAGTTTTTGCACAGCAAAAGAAACTATCAACAGAGTGAACAGACAACCTACAGAACGGAGGAAAATATTTACAAACTATGCATCTAAAAAAGGTCTAATATCCAATATCCATAAAGAACTTAAATTTACAAGAAACACACAATCCCATTAAAAAGTATGCAAAGGACGTGAATATATACTCTTCAAAAGAAGACACACATGTAGCCAACAAGCATATGAAGAAAAGCTCAATACCACTGATCATCAGACAAATGCAAATCAAAACCACAATGAGATACCATCTCACACCAGTCAGAATGGTTAGTGTTAAAAAGTCAAAAAATATGCTGGAGAGGTTGTGGAGAATAGGGAACACTTGTACACTGTTAGTGGGAGTGAATTTTGGTTCAACCATTGTGGAAGGCAGTATGGAAATTCCTCAAAGAGTTAAAAGCAGAACTAGCATTCATCCAGCAATCCCATTACTGGGTATATACCCAGAGGAATAGAAATCATTCTACCATAAAAACACATGCATGTGAATGTTCATTCCAGCACTATTATTCACAATAGCAAAGACATGGAATCAGTCTAAATGCTCATCAATGACAGACTGGATAAACAAAATGTGGTACATGTACACCGTGGAATATTATGAAGTCATAAAAATAGTGAGATCATGTTCTTTGCAGGGACTGATGGAGCTGGAGGCCACTATCCTTTGCAAAATAACACAAGAACAGAAAACCAAATAGCACATGTTCTCACTTATAAGTGGGAGCTAAATGATGAGAAAACATGAATGCAAAGAAGGGAAAAACAGACACTAGGGCCTAATTGAGGGTGGAGGGTGAGAGAAGAGAGAGGAACAGAAAAGATAACTATTGGATACTGGGCTCAGTACCTGGCAGATGAAATAATTTGTACAACAAATCCCCATGATGTGAGTTCACCTATGTACCAAACCCTCACATGTATGTTTGAACCTAAAATAAATGTGTAGAAAATTTATAAAAGGGCATTTTTAGCACATCATTCATTTTATTTTATTTTATTTTTTTATTTTATTTTATTTTATTTTATTTTTTTTTGAGACGGAGTCTCGCTCTGTCGCCCAGGCTGGAGTGCAGTGGCGCGATCTCGGCTCACTGCAAGCTCCGCCTCCCGGGTTCACGCCATTCTCCTGCCTCAGCCTCCCGAGTAGCTGGGACTACAGGCGCCCGCTACCACGCCCGGCTAATTTTTTGTATTTTTAGTAGAGACGGGGTTTCACCGTGTTAGCCAGGATGGTCTCGATCTCCTGACCTCGTGATCCGCCCGCCTCGGCCTCCCAAAGTGCTGGGATTACAGGCGTGAGCCACCGCGCCCGGCCGCACATCATTCATAATAGTAACTGAAATAGAAAGCCAAATACCAATTAAGAATAAAATTTTAACTGAAATAAGCCAGGGAAATAAAGACAAATGTCTCATTATCTCACTCATTTAAAATCTGGAATTTAAAAAGGTGGATGCCAGGGGCTAGAGAGGTTTGATGGGGAGACGGTTGGGGAGTTGTTAGTTAAGGGATACCAAATTTCAGTTAGGCAGGCACAATAACTTTAAGAGATCTGTTGCACTAGTTGATGACTTTAGTAATAGCAACACATTGCATTCTTGACAAAAATGCAAGAAAGTGGAGGCCAAGTGTTCTCATGACAAAATTATTGAGGTAATGCATATGTTCATTAGCTAGATTTAGTCATTCCACAATGTATACATATCTTTAAAGCATTATGTTGTACATGGTAAGTCCATTATATTATCTGTCAATTTTTAAAAATTGAGGAAAAAAGTTTAAAAAAATCACTAACTCAAATTAATTTACAAATCAATGTTGCCATTTTATCTCATGCTACATGCAGTATATAATATGAAAATACAATAGGTTTACAATGTGAAAAGAAAGAATAAAATGTATGTGAATTGTTATATCTTTGTGTATTTCTGTAGGACAGATAATAAAATCAAATGTACTTCAGTTTTATGTTACAACCTGAACATTTCTATTAAAAGGACAGATAAGAAAGAATTCATCCTGTATGATTCTATTTGCATGAAATTCAAATTATAAAAAGCGAATAATTTGGGTTAAAATAAGAATGCTAATAAAGTGGGAGAAGTAATAATAGAGAGAAGCCATAAGGCAGCTTTAACATGCTAACTTAATTGTATTTGTTGCACATTTTGAAGGTACATGGCTATAATTACTTTGGAGAATTTACTGAGCTTTATATTTAAGATTTGTACATTCTCACATGTATATGTGTGATATGGTTTGGCTGTGTCCCCATGCAAATCTCATCTCGAATTGTAATCCTAATTGTAATTCCAACGTGTCAAGGAAGGGACCTGGTGGCAGGTGACTGGATCATGCGGGCTGCTCCCCTATGCTGTTCTCACAAGATCTGATGGTTTTGTAAGTGGCAGTTTCCCCTGCACTCTCTCTCTTGCCTGCCACCATGAAAGATGTGCCTTGCTTCGCCTTTGCCTTCCACTATGATTTTAAGTTTCCTGAGGCCTCCCCAGCCATGCATAACTATGAGTCCAATAAACCTCTTTTCTTTATATATTGTCCAATCTCACTTATTCTTTATAAAATGTGAAAATGGACTAATACAATGTGTATGAAAAATATACAGTATATGAAAAGAATATGGTATAAGTCAGTAAAAAGTTTAAAATGGAAAGGTCATCATACAGGATTAATATTGACTATATCAATGACTAATTTCAAGTCAAATAAGGTGAAGGTGCTAATTAAAGGAAAAACAAAATTTTATGTATCCTTGTGTATCATTGGGTACCACAGGATCCTAGTGGTAATTTGCAATTGTATCATATTGTATAATTATAAACATATAAATAGAAATAACTTTCTTAAACTCAAGTTCTTATGGCAATAAAACATCCTGCTTGTTTACAAAAATATATATTAAAAAATAAAATTCAAATTAACATTACTTTAGTATGACAGGTGTTGTTTTGCTCAAATTAATCACATCCCAGAAGTAAAGTATTTTTCTATTGATGACTTTTTATTGCAAATTATCACTCCAAAGAAGAGTTCAGTCTTCTTAAATGGTAAAATAATTCAACCTGACAACAATAGCAGATGCTGTTAATAACAGTAATCAGTTTTTGTCTCAATAAAATTAAGACATTCCAACTTAATTTTGCTGAATATATATATTTCCAAACATGAACACCATATTTTACACTCTTTTTTTGCTCATTAACAGTTAAACCATAAATACATTTAATGATGCACTGAAAGCCAAAACTTGAATATGTTTGTCATTTAATTATTATTGTATAGGTTTATTTTATCACCAAAATAAAAAAAAAAAGGGAAGATGAACTACAAATGTGAAACTTGGAAACTTACAAATATTCAGTGGTTATTGAGAAATAGCCAAGACTATTCAACATGGATTTAAAGAGCAAATTTAGTCTAATAATAAATACTAAACTGACTAGACAATTGGACTTCATGAATACCTAAAGTTCCAAATCTTAGAATGGGATGCAGAAAAATACTTGTTTCTCAGATAGGAAGTTCCAGCCTACTCTATGACAATGTCTTCATTCTGGAAGTTGGCTGTGTAACCCCTTCACTCCTGTGTAAAATGGTCATCTTTGCTGAGGAATTGCTCTCTGAAGATATGTCACAACCAATCTTTACTTGTTATAGATACAATTAGATATACAATAATTATGGATAAACATAATGGATACAATTATGCTGTGCCATTACTTACTCTTTCTCAGTCCCTTGCAGGGTACCAGTTGACTTATCAGATTGTTGTTTCTCCTTGCAATTCCTCTTGAGTAATTAATAAATTTAATACCAAATGTGTTTTGAATTTGTGTTTGCATTTCTGTTTTCAGCTGGGACTTCATTTAAAACTTAGGGAGTGTAATTTTAAAATAGCCTGCTCTGAGTACTTTATCGACAAGAATTTAATATACAAACTGCTAAGCATGAAAATAATAAAATTTAAACCGGGCAACTGGGAATTTCTTTAGGATGTTTTCTCCTCTTATAATGACATTTAAGCCACTTCTCAAATCTAGCAATTGATCTCAACAGTTCTTTACTGATTTCTCTTACTGAGCTGTTATTTCTGAAAACTTTACTGCATTTATCACTAAGCACAGTGTTATAATCATGTGAAAAATCGTTCTTTTTCTTAATTTTTTTCAGGATTGCTACTCCTTGTTTAAATGTTCATATCTTTCCTCTTCAATGACCATTTTTCTCGTACATTTCTTCTTTCCTTTGTATATCAGGTAGGCGAATTAAACTTTTCTTTCTTTTTTTTCTCATTTTTTATATACACTCTCTTTTGCTCTCACAGTAAGACAAAAAATATATTTTGCCAGAGAATATTGTAATTTTTGAAGAAAAATACTACTTAATTGAGTGTCAGCAAGTAAACAAATGAGTAATAGAATAAATACATTTCAAATGCCTCCACAAAAATTATGCTTCTCTAGCAGTGGTAGGTTTTTGTGGAAACTGAAAATATTGCTTATTTTTAAACCTCTCTCTATTTCCAAAATGTAAAGGTTCCTGTTTGTCAACAATTTGTGGCCATGCCAGTGTTTTAGTTTGCTAAGATGTCCATAACACAATACCACAGACTGAGTGGCTTAACCATCATAAATGTATTTTCTGATGGTTTTGGGGGCTAGCAGTCCAAGCACTGTTAGTATGTTTTGTTTCCTCTGAGTTCTCTCTCCCTGTCTTGCAGACGGTCACCTTCTTGCTCTGTATTTGTGTAGTATTTACATATAACCAACACACATCTTCCCAGATACATACAACATTATCTCTAGATTACTTATAATACCTAATACAATGTAAGTGCTTTGTAAATAGTTGTTACACGGTATTCTTAAATTTGTATTATTTTTTATTATTGTAGTCTTATTTTCATTGAGTTTTTTTCTTGATTATTTTCATTTCACAGTTGGTTGAATCTATGAGTGCAGAAGCCATGAATAGAGAACCAAGTATTCATACATTAAAACATTTGATTTTAAATATATTCTTCCTTGGAAAGACCTCATTTAAAAACACCTTCTAGCAAAGTGAAAATGGAACCTCAAAAAGATTAAATCATGATTTCAAGGGCTGTCCTTGAAACATAAACAGGGCCCTTAAATAAACAGGGCAATGCGAGGCATCTCAGAATGAGTATCCTCTGTGTTAAACAAAATAAATCAGAATATATTACATAATTTGATAGTATTAATAAAAGGTTGGGATTTATAAATGATATATTTACAAAGGTTTAAAGATGATGATGCTGAAGCAAACCGTGTTGAGGGGAATACACAAGAAATTAATAGTTCAGGTATGAAAAGACATTCAGAATATTTGAGAAATTTTGGTAAGAAAAGAGAAAGTATTTAATATATATACTTCACTTTTTTCTTTGAAAGTTATATGTTATGATATCACTTTATTCATGAGTCCAGTAAAACCATATAATTGTGCTTTCATAAATAACATACCTACAATTGATAATATTTTTTCAATTTTTATAATTAACCTAATGTAAAGCATAAAAATCCAATTTTAAAGAATGAATATATAATAAATATTATAAAAATAATGTTATAGCTTATAATATTTGGAAGCATGGGAGATACAAATAAAATAATAAGACAGGAGTGAAGGGTAAACATTTTCTGATACATATCAGGAGGTACTTCTTAAAATTTATGTTCTGTAATATTAATTAGTTGAAAAGGTAAATGTAAGTCATGATAACATGTATCTTCTTACAAATAGCCTATCACTTCATACCAGAATATATTGAGTTATCATTTCTAAATGCAAGGATTTTTACAATATCAATATTCCTTCTGAATTTTTTTGTACTATTTTGCTTTTACAACCTAGCATCACAACAATCCATCTGAATTAAAAGACAGCCAGAATCGTTCAAAGAGTAGGGGGAATTTTGGAGTTATATTTAATTTACATTAACATCCTATCTTTGAGAGCTTGTAATAGCTAATTATATAAAAAAGTGTCATTAAATCTGCATGTATGATATCTAAGATTACTTTTATTAAAATGATGCCTTCCTCTAACCTACCTTTTATTTTCAAACACTTGCTATGCTTACATACATTGTTGTTTTTAATGTTCACTTTGGTTTCCATTATTATCCCCATTTTTCAGGTGAGAAAAAAATACATCTTGGTGTTTGCCTTAGTAGCCATCACAAAAGTTATGTCCTGGTTACAGTAGTTAGAATTTGCACTTAATTAAACAATTTCAGAGACCACACTAACAATAAATATGCCAAGACCTATTATGTTGTCTGTATAATAAAATCAAGAGAAATATAAACTTCTCCAAAATAATATTTTCAAAGATGAACTGTTTTTGAACAAAAAATAATAATAATAAAGTCAACATTTTTAATCAAATTAAAATCCTGGCTATATTTATTCTAGGCATTGGCGGTAATTCAACATAATTTAAGAAAGTGAAACTGTTTTTGAGAAGGAAGTATGTAGTATGCTTTCAATTTACATAGAAGATTCTGAGGACCCTAACTCAGAAATCAAGTTTACTCATTAGAAGGTGGCATTTCAGCATGTGGTCTGAGATTCTCTGTGAGTCATCTGCTTCAGTGGTGACACACACACTGTTTTATTAACAGCATCAAGACATGAAAAGCAATTGTGTTTTTTAGAGGCTCTTTCTATTAACACAGTGTAAAAGACTCCAGTTTTACTTAAAATGAACAAAACAAAAATGCGATCGAAAAACGAAATGTTCCCACTCAAATGTATGCTTCTGTTTCATCATGTTTGTTTCTCACTTTGATGCTTAGATTGAACAGTTTCACAAGTAAATACAACTGGTTGGCTCATATATATTCATGAAGAGAGAAAAAATTTCCTTCTGAGTAGCTCCACACAGAAAAGTTTCCCTAGACGTTTTGAATCCTGAAAGCTAGACTTCAATACGGCGCAGAATGACCCACGTGGAGAGATGGAGGAATGCTCTGGGTTTTTGTTTTTTTTTTTTTCATTTACACTCTATATAAGCCACAACTGACCATGATGTTTCTATCTTAAACCAATGTCTTTAGTCATGCTGTTGTATTGTTTCCTAATTCTCTCTAACTATGTGATGAAATTTAGCTACCACTCGACCTCTTTTACTTCCAAGTACAAATACATTGGGGGTCAGCAGGAGATGTTAGAATGGCTTGGGTGAGATGTTCTCATCCAAAAGATGAATCTTTACTGTTTACACCTGTTGGATACCACATAGAAGAGGGATGAGAGTTAAGCACTTCAAAATTCAGTGTGGCTGAATGGTCATAGTCTTGCATTAAATAAAGTATTCTGAGGATTTTCTGACAGCTATAGAACACACAAAGTGAGGCTAATGAGTAAATATTGTTTATTTCATTATTTGTATTTCCCAGTGTTTTACATTTCTCCTTCATTTAGTTTATTTGCATTTTTCTGTCCATTCATTTATATCATTGTTTATGTCATCCATTATTTATGTATTTTTAATTTTCTATTTCCCAAATTTTATCCTATTTGTGCAACCCTCTGACCCCAACACTGTGTGGTTCACTTCCTACTTAGGTATAGTTTAATCTGCATTTTTAAATAAAAACATCTAACATTAAATACAAATATGCCTTTTCCAATGAAAACATTTTAATATGCCAATAAAATATTATGATCTAAACCCTGCCTTAATTGAGATAAAATATTTAGAATATATTTTATTACTGGCAAGCTCAACTCTCATCTACTTGCTTAACCCACAAGCAGTCAGAAATAATGTAAAATTCAAAGGTGCTCTTATTATTTTCTTTATGAGACCATTTTCACGTAAAGGACCATTTTTAGAAGTTATATTGCAGTGCAGTTTCATTATTGTAATATTGGAGTTTATTTTTTACATTTAGCCCACAATATTAGACATATCATTCCTCTTTTTATGTGTTTTATCATCAATTTACCTCTTTTTTGGATATGATTTTTATTCAGTTATGGTACATCAAGTAATTGTGTAGTGATCTAATACTTGCATATATAGAAATGTCTTACCTCTGCTCTGGCTGGTAAATAATACCTTGGCTGAGTGTATTTCTTAAAAATATTTCTTTTAATAATTTTAATATTAGAATATTACCTCCCTCCCTCTTCTTCTCTCCATACCTTCCCTCCTTCCTTCCTTTATTTTTTTATTCCATCCTTCTTCCTTTCCTTTTTCTATACAGAAGAGTATCTTGGACAAGTACCAAAATTTAAATAAGGTCTGTAAAATAGAATGTATAATGGATCCTTCATAAAAAAATACACATTAAAAAATTAGTGTGTGATGCAGGCAGTGGTGGAGGTTTGATGTCAGTAGTGTATTTTCCAATTTCTCAGAAAAAGAATTCTTTGAAACATTATTGCCGTCTTTCTGTACATTAATAATTGTGTTAAAATAAATGCAAAAATGTTAGATTAAATTTGACCTTTTATTTTTTAGATATATAATTCTGTGTGAATTTGATTGCACTTTTGAAAGTAAACCACAATCTATGCATGTAATTATCATGAATCCTTATAATTTTATGTTGTTTTGTCATCCACTTTGAATATAGATTAACTTTTTTGTACCACAAGTAGGGATCAGTCAACCTTGACATAGTTTCCAGTTTTTTGTCTCCTCCCAATTCCTCAAGGTGGTTGACCTATATATTTACCTGTACAACTGCCTCCTGGTGACCCCTCCCTATGTAAGAGCTAGATACAACCTACTTAACTCACCCCACTGACCTTGATATCCCACATAAATTATGTAGACATATGGCAATGGCCACTAGTCAGAGCATGACCCCATGGAACCTGCCCCTGCCTGCTCTAAAGCCACCAAGTAGAGCTCCCCC
This sequence comes from Homo sapiens, assembly GCF_000001405.40. NCBI lineage: Eukaryota > Metazoa > Chordata > Mammalia > Primates > Hominidae > Homo > Homo sapiens. Next base: position 86,603,810 of record NC_000013.11, read on the forward strand.
AGGAAACTTGCTTGGGTAACATGCTGGACCCCAAGAAAGGCCTTGATCCACAGGCCTCTTGCTCAAACTTGCTCTTCTCTCTCACACACACTTCTTACCTGCTGGTTGAGCACACCTGTCCTGTCTGACTTTCCTGTTTCCATCGACTCCGTGAGGTGTGCTGCCCTCTTCCCTCTGATCTGTAAGAAATACACTGTTCCTGTTATTTCATGTGTTTTGTTGAGTTGCTCCTCTGTGTCTCACCTGACCAACTCACCCAAACCTAACTTTTTTCCTGTTCTGAGCTCTCCTAGAGAGTGGCGATCTTGGCGGAGATAAACTAAGCACATATCAAACAAGAACCACAAGGTAATCTGCCAGCATAAAAAGTGTCTTGTGAAAAAAAACACCGGGTTACAGGCATTGGATTATCTGTCAGGATAAAGATGTATCCGTGGAAGGCACACCATAAATATCAAGCACCAATTCCCTTGGAATTCTATCACGGTAGGGAGAGAGTTCATCTCCAGAAAGAGACCCCAAGACCAAATTTGAGGGAAACATAACAGTCATGCTGTAAGAATTCCTCCTTACACATGGAATTCAGAAGTCCCCTCGAAATAGTTCCAAAGCTGTGTCTTTTTTGCAGTAATTTTACCCTGGTCACTGTGCAGCACTGTCAACAAGGAAAACTCAGGCCTCTATGTAAGTTTTCTTGTATTTTCTGGTTTAATTCTCTCTCACAGAAATTATAATATGTGTGTATTCTGTATCTTGTGTCATTTTTCACACTTCTGCTAATATTAGTGTTTATAATTTTTCTTTAACCTGTCCCTCTAAATATATGACTCTTCTATATTTTATGTGCTAACACAAATTCACTATATGCAGCATCAAATGCATAACAAAGCAATATTTTAAAAAGAGTGATGTATTCCACTTGACAAAAAATATTTTGCAGACATTCAGCTTTTCCTTGCTGTCATTTATGTGTCTTTCTCACAAAAGCCTTTGGTTAGAAAATGAATAAAATAAAAACTGTAATTTTTCAGCATCAAAGCTTTTAAAAAATATAGCGCTGAAATTTTCTTTTAGTTATTTCTCTCTGCTCACATTTACAGAGCTTTAAAGTATTGTCTTTCTCATTAGCCTTTGGTGATGATAGGAGCCATATACTGAATTATCTTCTAAATGGTTTGCACAGATTGTCAATAACAACACAGTAATTCAAAATGCTATTATAATGCACCATGTATCATAGAAACATTATGCAAGCTATCAAAATATAATGGCTGTCTTCTCTTTCAAGTTGTTATTATTATTATTATTTCCTTTCTGAAATTTTTACTCTTAATGATCTTTGGTCTACCATTGTAGATTAAAGACAGTTATAGGAATAGAATTATTACTAAATGAGAAATAGTAATACTGTTAATGCTAGTAGTAAAGGTCTAGGCAAATTATAATTATTTTATATGCTTTTGTTCATTCATTTATTAATTCATTCAATAGGTATTTGCTTATTATAAGCACTGTTGTGATGATATAACAGGACATAAAACAGAAAATAACCCTGCTTTTTTAACTTACATAATAATAATAAAGAAGTTATAGCATTAAAAATTTAGGCTTTTTAAAATGTATGCTTCTAATTCAGTGATATAGAGATTACTGTTAAAATAAGTATGAATGTTCAAAACATAATTAGAATGCTGAGCAAAGCTATAATAAAATTTGTTACATTTTTAGAAATTATAGTATGATTTATAAAATTTCATAAAAATATGCCATATATATACATATAGTAAGTTCTGAGTTAAGATCATCTGTAGTTTGTGGGAAATTGACTTTAAGTGAAATGATGTATTACAAAGCAATTGTTTTTCTCAACAACATTATAAAAAATGTCATTGAAAGAAACAAATTTAATCTAGAACCTTCTGTATATAATTTCATGTAAGCTCATAGTTTTCAAAAACTATCCACAAGGTTAAGTGAGGACTTACATACCATTTCATATAAAAATAATTAGTATATAAATTTACCACATTCTACTTTAGCAGGACTTTCTTTCTTCTCAAAATGTAACATTAAAGTAGATTTATGTAGGTTAGATACATGATTCAGAAATACATTTTTCCTTTTCTGAATTGCACTGATACACACACACATACAGTACACATAAGTGTTCAATAGTGTCCTATAATATTTTACCCATTCCTCAGTAAAGAGTATTGAATGTCTAGGTCAGTCTTGACTTAAACTTTCACTTTCCTTTAATCCCTTGCTTTTAGGCAAGCCATCACATTCTAATCAGTTCATGAAAGAGCTTTGAAGAAGTTTTGGTTGCATTAGAAAACGGATAGATTTCAGCAGAATATATGTTCTTGCTACAATCACCCCCTTCCTGTTTTTGGTATACATATGACACCTAGAGCACAGGAAGACATCTTGTGACCATAAACCTATGCAAAAAAAGACAGTGTTCAAAGAATGAAAAATGAGAAAGAATACAGACTTCATTTAAAGACATGATAAATGTACTTTTCATAAGGTTACTTTTACCAGATTTTTCTGATTCACACTATTATGCATCAGATATGTCCATATGAGTCTTGTTCAAAATTTTTAATGCACATATTTATCATATGTACATTCCTCCTACCTCTAGCTCTCATTATATTTTATGCTAAAAAAATGGCAATGCCTGTTTTTTCAGAGATGCAATTGAGTAGCCTGCCACAGAGCAATATAAATTTGGTCATAGTGAGAATACATGAATTCTACTGCGTATGTTTTCCAGGTGGGATCTCCTCATTCTACACCAGAAGTTTAAATATACTTTGTAGAATGTAGAATGTACTCGTTGAAAAGAACAAATAATCACTTGGGCCATTTGTTTTTCCAAATAAATTATGTTTATCTAGCAAAGTGTATGATTAATTGCATATGCATGTGCTTGAAACAGTTAAACAAATCTAAAAATATTTGAAATAAATAATGGAGTATATTTCATCTTTGTCCATAGAGTTGTGTGTCAACTTATCTTTCATTTCTGTACTCAATTACATGATTGTTAAATTTATTTTATGAAATTAAATGTTAGATTAATCAAAATGAGGAAATAAAGGGCAATAAAAGATGAAATTGATTTCTAAATATTTGAGTGCAGAAATTGATTACTAAATATTTGGCTTACAAATCCTTTCAGATGTCTCATGAAAGACCAGAGAAGAAAAAATACCATTTTTTTCTTACCACATGTATATCACAGTAACATACTTTTAAGTAGTATTCTTTATTCATATAATTGTAAATATTTTTCTATAAGCAAATTCAATTTACACTATGTAGGGGCTGGGTATAATTTCATAGTATCATATTTACTTATTTCTCTCATATTTTTAGATGTAGAATTTATTTCCAATTTTGGAATTATGAAAACTGAAATATGTTAATTGTATGGTAGTTTTCAATAAATGTTATACTACCAGTATTATTAATTGAATAAGGTAATTATTATGAATTTTCAAGACCATAGACATTTCTTACTTCTCATTTTAATAATTGTTTTTCATCACTTCTTCCTTGTGCTATGGGTATTATGGGATTTTTGTTTGATTTTTGTAATGTAGATACTTTCATTTTATGGCATATGGAAAAAAATCAGGCATGACCATTATCCATATCAATTATGATACTGGGAAATCAGTATTAGCAAAGGAAAATGTGCATGGTATGTGTGTGTGTTTATGTTTGTGTGTGTGTATGTGTGTGTATACTTAACAGTATAGTATGTGTCCTTTTATATATATGTTCTAATTATACAATAGGCCTGAAAGTTCTGATGTCTGCTTTGAATGGTATTGAAGCCCTAAAGTGAGGTCTGATACGTAGTAAAAACCAAAGAGCTTGTAGATGAGAAGCAATAACAACAAATGAAAAGAGACATACTGATGTTCATTAACTCAGAAAACTGTGCGACCTAAGATATTGGTCAATAGAAATGTTCACGGCAAGTTTTGCAACAGATGGACTCTCCGTCTAACCGTGATTGTCATCATTCCACAACCACACACATGTACATAATTTAGAAAGACCATCTGAGGAGATTATGGACAGCTTTCTACGTGGTGGTTATAACCACAGCTGTTGTTATTTGTGAAATTCTTAGCATGTAGCTACTACCCTATCATCAATAACATTATGTCACCTATCTCAGGGAAAACATTCAGAGCTTGTCTTTGTTGTGCACAGAACATCTGAGAAATAAGTAAAAATAACAATATCACAAATAACTCTCTTGCTTTCTTTCTCAACATACGACATGCCTGCTCCTCTCTTTACCTTCTGCCATGATTGTAAGCTATCTGAGGCCTCACCAGAAGCAGATGCTGGCACTATCCTTCTTGTATAGCCTGCAGAACTGTGAGCCAAATAAACTTCTTTCTTTAAAAATTTTTTTAAAAAGAAATAACAACAATAATATTTGTAACACAAGTGTTTCTGTTGTAGATGTGAGCTTTCTCTAAGGATGTGTGTTTTCTTTTTTCCAGAAATGGCAGAAATCATTAATTAATGGGGTAACATTGGGTTTCATACAGTCTCAAAAATGAGTTGATATTGTGGTTTGCCTCAGAAATACCTATTATTTATTCTGAAAGTGTTTATCAAGACATCTGAACAACAATAAGTTCTTTGGAGGATCAAAGATACCTGTGGATATTCACGGAAAAAAAATGACACAAAATCATTTTTTATTATATGAATCTATTTTAAAATAATTCCACGCAGCAAAACCTAAAATTGGTGTTCTTAATTTGTTTTCAATTAGAAAGCGACAATCTGAATAATCTTATACTAACAAATTATTTTATTCATTATACCTAGGCAAAAATTAATCAGTGAATATCAAATACAGTATAGTTTATGCGAAAAGCTCGTTTTCACATATTTCATGCTCAGTTCCTATTAGGAGGAATAGTGAGATTTTGAACATCTGTTTTTAAAAATAAGTGTTTTAATTAGCAGGATACAGAGTGTCTTCAAATAACACCATCATTCCCAAGGGAACTCCACCCTGAGGGAGTTAAAAGAACTCCATGAAACATGCTGGTAACCTTCTGCTTGTAACAGAAGGACCATGACACTCTCTGTGGCCTACTTGGCTCATGCACACAGAACAGTTTATTGAATGAACTAAATTACATAGGGGGCAGCATAAAGCCACTTTATTCTTTCCCAAAATTGTCCTGTCATTGATTTAGTCTCTCAGCTTGCTTTTCTTACACAGGATAAAAGATCTGGTTTGTCAGTCATTAGAAAACCATATTCTATTGCGTTAATAATAAAATAAAGAGACATGAAAATTCCAAACTTTTTGTAAGTTAAGTGAAATTCACGGCTATCCAAAGCCAGAAAAATCACAATGGGGAGGAAGGACTTGGTGCTTCCTTTTTCTTTTTCTTGCTTAATCTCATCCTCTATCTTAGCCGTTGTTTGTGGCTTTACTATATTTGGGACAAGAGGACAGAGAGGCAGGAGAGGTAGGAGACATAACTGCGCTATGTAGTTTTTTTTTTTTTTTTTGAGACGGAGTCTCACTCTGTCACCTAGGCTGAAGTGCAGTGGTGCGATCTCGGCTCACTGTAACCTCTGCCTCCTCCCGGGTTCACGTCACTCTCCTGCCTCAGCCTCCTGAGTAGCTGGGACTACAGGCACGTGCCACTACACCTGGCTAATTTGTTGTATTTTTAGTAGAGATGGGGTTTCACCATGTTGGCCAGGGTGGTCTTGATCTCCTGACCTTGTGATCCGCCACCTTGGCCTCCCAAGCCTGGCCCCCTCGAAGATGTAGTTTAATGTGCACTGGTGGTTTCTAGCTATGGCATATTCCAAACACTAATGTTTTTTCTTTTGTGATGTGTTTTCTATAGGTTCTTCAGAGAACTCCCACCAGTGTGACTTCTCACAATTTTATTGATCTAGACAATACCTCTCACAAATGGGATGACTTTTTAAGGGGCACCTACTTCAGATTCCTGCCTTAGTCCTCATGGGGCCACAGTCAACACACATCTTTGCTCTGACAAAATCTGGTACTGCCTTTCTCAAAAAGTCACCTGCCCTCTCTAGCCTAAGTAAGAAGCAAGTGATCCACTCTTATTTTAATATCATCCATTTCTTGCCTATAAACAAATTGCACAAAGTAAATAAAATGTATCCTTTAAAGAAAAGATGTATAGATTTACATTTAAAAAAATTATATTCAACAAAGATATCATGGATAAAGCCAAAAGACAAGAAATGATTGAGAGATAAAAACTGCAACTCATATAAACAGCACAACATAGGTATCCAGAATAAAACATCTATCTATCTATCTATCCATCCATCATCTATCTGTCTATAAAGTGAAAATAAGTTATTAGAATGATTGAACATAAGTTATGTCTTAACAAGTTATAGAAGATAAAATAAATAAGCAAAATAGAAAATAAATACAATCTACTTCACTTTTCTGAGAAATGAAAAATTCTACTAATAAAATGTGACTTTTGAATACACCAAACTTTAAGGTAAGTGTCAAAATCAAGTGATGTATTGGAAAACGAGCATTGTACTTGCTGGTGGGAGTGTAAATGATACAAACTCTTTGAAGAACACTTTTCCTACATCTATTAAATCTTAAGACATGCATGTCATCTGGTTTTTAGTTTCACTCCTTTTATTACATTTAGAGATACTTTTCCATATGTGACAAAAGAGGAAATCCAATTGTGTGACAGTTTATTGGAGTATTGTTTGCAATAACCCAAACAATTGAGAAAATCTAAATGTTCATCAGTAGAAGATGGCATAATCATACTAATAAATCAACACAAATGGAAGCATATCTACTAATGTGTATACCATCATACAATGTAATACTGAAGAAAGAAAGTTTTGCTAAGACTCAATAAATTCCAATTTGTAATGATATAGGTATCCACATTCAGGATAGTAATACCTGCAGGGGAATATGGGAAAAGACTTAGATTGAGGGCTTCAAATATATTTAGAACATTATCTTACTGAAAATGTCATGAATAACATGTTATAATATTTAAAATCTAGTAAAGCAGGATGGTAGATAACATCATCACTCATACTATTTACTAATGTTTGGTATGCTTAAGAATATCTCAGAATGAAATAAATAAATCTATAATCATTGCCTAATAAAAATGTAGATAGCATTTTTATAATTTTTCAAAGAAATGATTATCCAGGCCCTAAAGCCTAACCACCAAATCATTTTATTATAAATCTAGAACCAGAAATACCTTTTGACTCAGCAATCCCATTACTGGGTATATACCCAAAGGATTATAAACCATTCTACTATAAAGACACATGCACACGTATGTTTATTGCAGCACTGTTCACAATAGCAAAGACTTGGAACCAACCCAAATGGCCATCTATGATAGACTGGATAAAGAACATGTGGCACATATACACCATGGAATACTATGCATCCATAAAAAAGGATGAGTTCATGTCCTTTGCAGTGACACGGGTGAAGCTGGAAACCATCATTCTCAGCAAACTAAGGCAGGAACAGAACCAAATACCACATGTTCTCACTCATAAGTGGGAGTTGAACAATGAGAACACATGGACACAGGGATGGGAACATCACACACTGGGGCCTATTGGGCAGTGAGGGGCTAGGGGAGGAATAGCATTAGGAGAAATACCTAATGTAGATGATGGGTTGATGGGTGCAGCAAACTACCATGGTAACAAACCTGCATGTTCTGCACATGTATCCCAGAATTTAAAGTATAATAAAAAAAAGGGAAACAATTGATAGATATTAGTACATGAACATTTAAAACATTTATATGTAAAAATATAGTATAAGTACATAAATATACGTTATATTTTGGTAACATTACTTTCAAGAATTTTGGTACAACATTTTATGTGTGTTATCAAGGAGAAATTAAGTAACTGAAGAGACTAAGAGAATTCCTTAATTCTAACTTATGTACATATAAAAGGGTACATGTTAAGTATTATTAATTTTCTGAAACTTTATTTTTTCATATGTTTTAATTATTCATTTTTAAAAATACTTCAACTTTTACTTTAGATTTAGGGTGTACATGTGCAGGTTTGTTACATGGGTATATTGCATCATGCTGAGGTTTTAGTACAAGTGCTCCCATCACAGAGGTAGTGAGCATAGTACCCAATAGGTTTTCAACCCCTTCTCCCACCTTCCCTTCCCCTCTAGTAGTCTCCATTGTCTATTGTTGACATCTCTATGTGCATGAGTACCCAACTTTTAACTCCCTCTTAAGTGAGAACACTTGCTATTTGAATTTCTGTTCCTGCATTAATTCGCTTAAGATAATGGCCTCCAGATACATCCATGTTGCTACATAGGACATGATTTCATTCCTTTTATGGCTGCTTGTATTCCATGGTGTATATATCCCATTTTCTTTATCCAATCCATTGTTGATAAGCACCCAGGTTGATTCTATGTTTTTGCTACTGCGAATAGGGTTGCGATGAACCTACAAGTGCATGTGTCTTTTTGGTAGAATGATTTATTTCTTTTGGATGTATACCCAGTAATGAGATTGCTGGTCGAGTGGTAGTTCTATTTCAAGTTCTTTCAGAAATCTCCAAACTTCTTTCCACAGTGGCTAAACTAATTTAAATCCCCAACAACAGTGTATAAGCATTCCCTTTAGTCTGCAGCCTCGCCAGCATCTGTTGTTTTGTGACTTTTTAATCACAGCCATTCTGATTGATGTGAGGTGTTACCTCATTGTGGTTTTGATTTGCATTTCTCTTATGATTAGTGATGCTGAAAGTATTTTTTAATGTTTGTTGGCCATTTTTATGTCTTCTTTTGATAAATGTCTGTTCATGTCCTTTGCCCATTTTTTAATGAGGTTATTTTTTGCTTGTTGAATTCTTTCAGTTCCTTATACATTCTGCATATTAAACCTTTGTCAGATGCATAGTTTGGGAATATTTTCTCCAATTTCTATAGGCTGTTTACTCTGTAAATCATTTTTGTTTGTTTTTGGATTTTTTTATTTTTTTCTGTGCAGAAGCTCTTTGGTTTAATTAGGTCCCACTTGTCAATTTCTGTTTTTGTTGTAATTGATTTTGAGGACTTGGTCATAAATTCTTTCCTAAGAATGACAGGCAGAATGATGTTTCCCAGAAGGTCTTTAGCTTAATTAGGTCCCACTTGTCATTTTTTGTTTTTGTTGCAATTGCTTTTGAGAATTTAGTAATAAATCATTTTCCAAGGATTATAGGCAGAATGGTGTTTCCTAGGTGTTCTAGGATACTTACAGTTCAATGTCTTACATTTACATCTTTAATATATCTTGAGTTAATTTGATATATGGTGAAAGGTATGGTGAAAGTTTCATTTTTTTTCCTGAAGCTTTCTTGATATTGTCAAATTTGATTATTTGTCTGAATTTTAATATCTAGTTTCTGAGACAGTTTTATTCAGAATTTTAAAATAATTGTTCCAATTTTTTCCTACTGCCTGTTCTTGTAATGTACATTGGATACAAACCTGTACATTGGATACAAACACATTTTTTTTCCTCCTTCTTGATCTCTGGCATTAGGCCCTTTTCATTGTCTTCAGTATTATAAAATTTCATTTTTTATTGGTGTAGGGAACGTTTTATTAAAAGATTTTTGAATACTTCAGTTGTTCTCTATTATGTTCCCATTTTTCTTTACTGAGGCCAAGAGAATGTCCCTTGCAGACCTCCAACTGCAGGGAGGATAACTGATCAAGGATCCCAGCAGCTGTGCTCTGAAAACCATCAATACCTTTGCCCCTTTCCTGGGAGCCATGTGAATCCTGAAACCCAAATTGGACTTGTAGACTTCCTGAAGGCCTTGCCAACCTGCGAGATGATTTCACCAAACATTCTCTCCCTCTGTCCTTTACTCGGGATCAGCTTTGCATCATGTTCTGACTGCATTTGCATTTCAGCCTCCCTTGACTCCTCCTATTTTCTTTCTTACAGGTGTTTTTTCTTTTTTTTCTCTCTCTTCATTCCATCTTGGCATTTCCTTCTTAGTGAATGTGGACTAACAAACCTTTATATTGCACATCTAATCTAGCATATTGCACTTCATTGCTTTAGCTTTCTCTTATTAAACTCTAATAATACACACACACACACACACACACACACACACACACACACTGCTTTACATATTTGTCCCAAGTACTTATCTTGTCTGATTTTTCTTGCTCCCAAAAAGCCAGTATTTATTTAATGAATGAAATGCTTTCCTAAAATATTTTTCTTAAGTATTTTCTTACTTGAAGAGTACCAGCACATTTTATTATTAAATATCTTGCATATTTTATCACATTTTACTTTTTCGGTGGGTATATGCATTATTCTTCCATGGCTACCATAAAAATTACCACCAACTTAGTGGTTTATAACAGCACAAATTTATTATATCTAGATAAAAAGTCTGAGCAGGGTGACAGTGGGCTAATGTAATCAAGGTGTTGGTGGTCTCCTTCCTGGAGTTTCTAAGGAAGAATCCATTTCCTTGTTAATTAATATTGCTGGCATATTTCAATTCCCATGGTTATAGGACATTTTCCCTGTTGGCTGTCATCTGAAGGTTGTTGTCACCACCCAGAAGCCACTGCATTTCTTGGTTCAGGGCCTGCAACCCCCACCTTCAAAACCCACAACAAGGAGTAGAGTTTCTTTCATACTTGCCTGTGTTCCTGTCTGAACAAGGTTTTCTATCTGTCAGAATAGCCATTCAAAAATCTGTCGTGTGTTGAACACTCTTATCTTTCTGTTGTGGGGCGTATAATTGTCCCTTCCACCTTCTAACTCCCATGTTCAAGCACAATCCCCAGTATGATGGCATTTGGAGTTGGGACTTTGGCAGGTAATTAGATATATATGAGGTCATGACAGTGGGGTCTGTATGAGAGACTTAGTGCCCTTCTAAGCAGAGGAAGAGACCAGAGTGCTTGTATACTGGCTCATTCGATCTCAGTCCCCACCGCCACCTGCCTCCTGCTCTCTCTCTCTTTACCAAGCGAGGGCACAACAAGAAGGAAGTCCCCTACAAGTTAGAAAGCCCTCACCAGGAACAAAATCTACCAAAACCTTGACGTTGGACTCCCCAGTCCCCAAAATTGTAAGAAATAAATGTTTGTTGTTTAAGTTATTCAGTCTATGGTACTTTGTTATAGCAGCCTGAGGAGGCTGCAGCAGTTTTCATTTCTGCCTTATCACCAAATTCACTGGTTCCATATTTTCATGTAATTTTTACATTTATATAGCAGTTTCCCTCATTTTTCAAAAGACAGTATGGGTTGTTGCAGCTGCCTAACCATTCAGTTGTATGTTTTTATGACATTTTATTAGGTATTGAATTTGTTCACCATTCTGTTGTTGTTTACTCTCATATTTTGACTGGATTTATGAAAGCTGAAATCCTGTCTCACATTGAAGACTTTCTAAAGTTTCCTGTTTATAATTCAGAAAGAAGTTATATCTTAAATCTCATCCTTTCTATAAGACACCCTGGGTCAACCGAGTCTGTCATTTTACATTTGTGATATTGTAGTATATTATCAATGTAAAATAAAAGATTTATTTATTTTTGGTTTTTTATTGAGAAAGGGTTTTGCTCCGTTACCCAGGCTGGAGTGTAGTGGTGCTTTCATAGCTCACAGCAGCCACAACCTCCTGGGCTCAAGCAATCCTTCTGCCTCAGCCTCCTGCATAGCTATGACTACAGGTACATGCCACCACGCCAGACTAATTTTTAAATTTTTTGTAGAGATGAGTTCTGCCAATGTTGTCCTGGCTGATTTCTAACTCCTGGCCTCAAGCAATCCTACTGACTTGGCCTCCCAAAGTGCTGGTATTACAGATGTGAGCCACTGCACCTGGCACAAAATGAATTTTTTGTATTTTCATTTATAAAGTTATCAAAGTTTTGGCTCAAATACTATGCCCAATATTCTTTATTCAAAATGCATAGTTTTATTCTTTCTTATTTTATGCTATAAGGAATTTTACAAATGATTATCTAATTAACAATAAACTCAAAACTAAAACCACAGAGGACCTTTGATATATTATTTAAAATTGATATCATTATGAAATAAGTTCTGCTCCTAACACAGATCTTCTACTTTTCAAATAAATTATATTTTGGAAGAAAATTATTAGGTGATTTCAATCAACACATTACAAATGTATGAGATTACGGTAAATAAAAACTTGTATATAATTGGTGAATATTTATGTTGAATTTTAATTATTTCCTAAAAAGTGCTGATTATATCAGTTTTAAGTCTTGCATTTCATTTTTCAATTTTAAAATCTATTTTTTTTCTGTTTTCTAAATTGACAATATTTGAGTGGCAATTAAATTGCATCCTCTGCCAATCAATCATATAAGCATTTTATATGCAGACTGAAAATATATTGCACATGTGACATGGGAAATCAAATTTGGGGTTGTTGGAATGAGGGATAACAAATTGTATGAAACAGGATGAATGTGATTGTAATTATTTGTGTCCGTCTGTTCTCACACTGCTATAAAGATACCATCTGAGACTGGGTCATTCATAAACAAAGGAGGTTTAATTGACTTACAGTTCCACATGGCTGGGGAGGCCTCAGGAAAATTACAATCGTGGCAGAAGGGGAAGCAGGCACCTTCTTCCCAAGGCGGCAGGAGAGAGTGTGAGCTTTTGAAGAAGGAACTGTCAAACCCTTATGAAACCATCAGATCTCATGAGACGTCACTATCATGAGAACAGCGTGGAGGAAACTGCCCCTGTGATCTAATGACTTCCCATCAGGTTCCTCCCTTCACATGTGGAGATGGTGGGATTACAATTCAAGATGACAGATTTGGGTGGGGACACAGCCAGAACATATCATTGTTATTTTGTGAATGGCCATAATAAAATAATAATTACAATCACATTCATCAGTAACTTTTCTTAAGAAAGTAACTATGTTATCATGCATTCATTTGATTCACAAAATGAAGCCATTTTTGTAAAAAAGAAAATATTAGAATTCTGGAAAAAATGTTATTAGTAAGATAGTTGTAAAAAGCTTATATATTAATAGATATTACTTATACAAATAAGTTCTAAAAACTATGCTATAGAAATAGTATACTTAAAACTAATCATATAATTCAAATTATATAGTTATTAATTAAATAAGTTGGGGAACAGCAGGTTTCTTAATCTATTGAATCTGATATCTCTGCAAAAAGACAAATTAATTTAAAAGCTTCCTCAAGTATGACAGTTAATGATTACAGTAGATTTATTAATGTTTCTAGAAAGTGAACTAAATATTAAATTCATCTTAAAGATAATAAACAAAAAGCAAAACTTAAGTAATATACCCTTTAAAAAGAAAGTTAATAATCTGCAGTGTTGCATGAAGCCCAGAAGCTGTGTTTATCTGTAGATACCACAGAATATGTCTATACTATGAATGAATTAACATAACATTTTTACAGTGTATTATTTCTCCCTATAAAATGAAAAAATATATGAAATGACATTATAAAATGAATTCTTTACATAATAGTTTGCATATCATTATATTTAACACAATGTCATTATATTTTACTCAAAATATTATGCGTGTATTGAGTTAGGTTTAGAAGATAATGATTTTGACACCACTCATGCCTTAAAAACAACAAAATAAGCAGAGGCACAAAAATCCAAGTAGTTAATTTGATTTCGAGGTAAAAAATTCCATACTATATAGTAGTTTTAGATATTCAGTTAAAGAATGCAGTCAGTGGGTAATTCTTCCAAATATAGTGGCTAACATTTTTAAAAGTTAATTTTGAACCATTTTTATTGATTCCATTTTGAGACCTAACTTTTTAAAATGTATAAAATAACTTGGGAATTTTGAAAATACCATACCAAATAAAATAAAAATCTATCTCAAGGGCAATGCTAAGAGAGGTTTTTCTTTCCATATGTCATCGAAGAAGATTGCTAATTGACTTTTCAACATATCCTCCTAATCTAGGGTAGGCAAACTGTGTCCCACTGACCAAATCTGATGACCTTTCACCTGTTTTGTGAGTTAAGAATTTTTGTTGTTTATGTTTTTTAACATTTTTAAATGGTTCATTTTAAGTAGTTATATAAGCACCTAGATAATGTCCTCAATTTTGCCCCTTGGGCTGCAAGCTTGATATATTTTCATTGTAGCATTTTTATAGAAAATGTTTCTCAACTCTTGTGACTTGAAGCAAAACTGCATAAGGATTTAAATCCACCTATTGACATGTTTACTATACATCTTCCCTGAATTTTTTTTAGTTTCTACAAAACAAGTAAAACAAATGGAAACATGTATTTGCATCTCTTTCTCTCTTACTGTTTACTATTATCATTACCTGGAAGCAATATTTACTTTCATCTATTAGGTATAAAGCTGTTAGAAGAATATACAGCTAAAATATCCTTTATAAAGTTAACTAATACGAATACACAGGATCATTATATTAGTGCATTTCTTTTTAAGGAATAACATATTAGTGGTATAAGAGAAAAAAAATGCTTAACCAGTGGATCAAAATGCATCAAAACAATACAATGCAATGAGGCAAAACAATGCATAATAAAATAATGGACTGATAAAGTCAGTGATAGCATGTCACACACAAGAAATTAATCAAGATATAATAGGTTATGTTATGTCAGTACATACCTGAAGATCTTGGGAAAAGTTTTGCACGTTATAAAATTGGATTAACCCTTTCAAGTTCTACAGGTGCATCTAAATTTGCCACAAAGTTATGAAAATATAATACACTGTTTCAATATATTGAATGTCCTATTGATATGGTTTGGATCTGTGTCCCACCAAATCTTGTGTCGAATTATAGTCCCCAGGGTTGGAGGTGGAGCCTGGTGGGAGGTGGTTGGATAATGGGGGTGGATTTCTCATGAATGGTTTAGCACCATTCCCTTGGGTGCTATTCTCCTGATAGTGAGTTTTCATGAGATCGGGTTGTTTAAAACCATGTAGCACCTCCCGCTGCTCTCTTTTGCTCTTGTTCCTGCCATGTAAGATGGGCCTACTCTCTACTCCCACCAGTTCACCATGATTGTAAGTTCACTGAGGCCTCTCTAGAAGCCAAGCGGATGCCAGCATCATGCTTCCTGTACAGCCTGTGGAACCATGAGCCAATTACATTTCTTTTCTTTATAAATTACCCAGTCTCAGGTATTTCTTCATAGCAATGTGAGAATGGCCTAATACACCTATGTATAGTGGTGGAGGTCGAGTGGGACAAAACTTTTTTATTGTTGTTCTTTAAGTTATTTTCAAACATTAACATTTTACATGGTTTGTAGGATCATGAAAATATGAATAAGATTAATATTATTTTAATGATTACTGTAGGATAATGTAAAAGAAAATATTTTGCTATTTTTAGCTTCCATGCAGAACTTAGTTATTTTTCTTCTACTATATATAAGAAATCCCGTTTATTTGCCTCTATGCCATTTTGTACATTGATACACTTGTGTAAAATTTAAGTTATTGGCATTACGTAATAGTAAAAACTGAGGTATTTTGAGAATGTATTTTTGGATTCAAATGCAGGATCCTAAATTTCCTATCTATATGAGCTTGTAGAAGTTATTTACACTCTTAGTGCCTCAGTTTTCTCATCTGTAAAATAGGATATTTAGCAATATATACCTGATATAGTTGGTGTACTGATTGAATAATTGATACACATTAATCACTTAGAACAGGGTCCTACTCAGAACAAAATGTATTTCAATGAACAAGGGTGTATGCACATATGTAATCATTGTAGATGTTTATAAATCAGGTGTAATTCCTTTTAAACAGTAGTAATCATATTTCTAATAACATAAAGCCTCTTAATTTATCATCATCTTGATAAAAAGAAAACTACTTTTGAAAACCAATGAAAAAAATTATTTAAATTAAATGTAATATGTATTACAAATATTGGTTTTTAGCAAATAAAGGCTTAGCAATGTGAAAAGATTACTTTTAATGGCAAAGGCCTCCATTACTTTTGCACCAAACTAAAAAAGTTTATGCCTATAAAATTAACATTTTTTCACAGCACTTTTGTCTTCTGCCAATAAATTCAAAATCATTATTTTCTTTTCACATAATAATACCATGGTGAAGTTTTAAAACAAGTTATTAGGAATTTTCAGACATTCTGCTTCAGCAATGACAATATATTTTTAATATATGGGACATGATAAACTAGATTGTTGTAAATACATAAGTAAAAATCATGTTTATATTTTCATTCTAATTTTTCATGTTGACTCTTATTTTCCGTAGCTCATCTCAGGTTCCAATATTTGTTACGGGGAAGATTCAATGAACAAAATCATAAATGTATTATGCTGTTTGGAATTTGATTTTCTGTAGCAAGTTATATGCTCCCGTGTCATACTTTTCCGTTTTAAAATGTGTTTGCAATTTATTTTTCAGACCAAATCAAAGGTATGAATTTACAGCTACCATATTTGCTTTTTTTCATCTACACTTTAAGGGGAACCCCATCAAAAAGTGGGCAAAGGATATGAACAGACACTTCTCAAAAGAAGACATTTATGTGGCCAACAAATACATGAAAAAAGCTCAACATCATTGATCATGAGAGAAATGCAAATCAAAACCACCATGAAATACCATCTCATGCCAATCAGAATGGTGGTTATTAAAAAGTCAGGAAACAATAATGCTGGCGAGGCTGTGGTGAAAAAATAGGAACACTTTTACACTGTTGCTGGGAATGTAAATTAGTTCAACCATTGTGGAAGACAGTGTGGTGATTCCTCAAGGATCTAGAACCAGAAATACCATTTGACCCAGCAATCTCATTACTGGGTATATACCCAAAGGATTATAAATTATTCTCTATAAAGACACATGCACACATATATTTATTGCAGCACTATTTACAACAGCAAAGACACAGAATCAACCTAAGTGCCCATCAATGATAGACTGAATAAAGAAAATGTGGTACATATACACCAAGGAATACTATGCAGCCACAAAAAAGAATGAGATCATGTCTTTTGCAGGGACGTGGATGAATCTGGAAACCACCATCCTGAGCAAAGTAACACAGGAACAGAAAACCAAACCCCTCATGTTCTCACCCATAAGTGGGAGTTGAACATTGAGAGCACATGGACACAGAGAGGGGAACAACACACACCACAGCCTGTTGTGGGGTGAGGGGTGAGGGGAAGGAACCTAGAGGATGGGTCAATAGGTGCAGGAAACCATCATGGCACACGTATACCTATGTAACAAACCTGGACTTTCTGCACACGTATCCCATTTTTTTGTTTGTTTTTAAGAAATAAAGAAAAATAAAAAATAAAAAAATAAGCTTTCAAACAACCAATGGTTACTTGGGAAACTACAATTTTAGTTTTCCAAAAAAACAATAACAATCTTTATCAACATAAAAAGATGCAAAATAAAATTGCATGAACATTAATGCATTAATGAAACATGCTATTTATTTATTTAAATTTTAGAGTGTGGTTAAAGTATCTTCAGATACTGCCTTTTCCATTTCTGTAAAACACTTATTTCTGAATATTTCCATTCTTCGTTCTCTTCATAATCAAACCTCTAATAGATGTATGTCTATTCCAAGCCACATCCCCATCTCCTTAAACTGTGCATTTCTATGTATGTCATGCCTGCCATCACCTGCTTTTAAATCGATTCCTTTCAGTTCCTTGTCAGTGTCATCATGTCTGTTTTCATTATTTTTCCTTTCGGGGGCCTTCTTGTTGCAATGGTTAAAACTTTGCTATTTTTCTTCTTTTCTACAGTCTTCACCTAATCTCTGAGGTCAGATGTGAGAAAAAGAGTTGGTTCTTCTGGTTTCAGATATTTACTTTCCTAGTTATATACAAATAATCTCTTCCATATTACCTTTTTTCCCTAACAGTAATGCAATCATAGCAATGAATATTTTTCTCCCTCCTGTAAATTTGTATGTTTTGAAGCATCTGTAAAAAGATTCAGACTAGACAGCCACTGTTATACCATGCAGTGAGTAGGTAGGTTGCCCTGATGTCAGCTCCACCAAGACTGTCCATGATGGGTGAGAAAATAAAAACCAGTCTGTGTTGCTAAAACAGAATGATGATTTTTGTCAAAAACTATATTATTTCACTATTATCCACCACTGACTAAAATACAGATATAACCTGATTATTTAAACTCAGGACTCTGCCGTTTGACTTCCATTTTTTCTTATTGTCTGATATACTTCACTGACTTCACTGGATTCTAAGTATTAAAATCTGTCCACACCTAATGAGCATTCTCCATTCCTAGTAGGATGCTAGCTAGTAAGATTGAATTACTGGCTCAATCAATAGCCATCCTTATGAATTTCAAGTCATATTAGCATTCATTTGCTTTATTGTCCAGTATTTTTTTATTATTCTCTCAGGCCTTGATTAAAACAGTTCCAGAAAACTTCATGATAAACTTGCTAAAACTCACTTTTTACTTTCAAGATTTAGAAAATCATAATCATGAATCACTTCTCACTTATTCTATATAGTGCAAATAAATCTGATAGCTGGAATGAATTCATTCCCCAGCTCCTACTCAACTATTTAAAGGCAAATACTACTTCTCATTCATCCTTTATATATATATTCTACAAAAATTCACTTTAAATATATTTGTCAGATTTAGAATAAAGTTAAGTATGAAACGGCTTTTCTGAAATTTTTTATGCAGAATGAAAAAACAAGACACCATGGGGCTCTGTGTGCCTTAACTGAAGCATTTCTGAAAGCCAGGATATTACCATACAGCATTTTTTCCAATTTGGCATTTCTTCTTGTTGAAACTATTTTATCTACCTCTACTATTCCTCATAATTTTTTTTTCAGAATCTTTGATCAGGTGCCTAATATGCCCCAAGATTAATAGAGTAATTCTGTATTACCTGCTGTTTTCCTTTTCTAACAATTTCATGCTACTATCCATTGTACTCATGAAATAAAAGGCATGAATTCAAAGAGTAAGACTAGAGTTAGCTTTGGAGAGAATTTAGAAGACAGAAGATCCTGAACATGGAAAAAAGTGAGAATACAATCCTGAATATCAGAAAGCTAATCACAATAAAGAAGATACACGTAAAACACTTCTCAGTGGCTGCTCTGAGAACAAGGATGAGGAGGAGAACAACAGATGCAAATCAGGATTCACAGAAAGGCTTGGGGGATTTTGTGTGTGCCAGAGGACAAAACAATAAAGAAAGAATAGGCAGGAGCTATGAATTTTGAACACAAACGTGCTCCTTCAGTATATGAACTAAATTTTGGAAACAGTAAAAGAAATTCAGCTGGCTTTAAGGCATTTGTTTTTTTGTTTTCAGCAAACAATAAATCGATCAATGGCAAATTGAAGGTAAGATTTACAACCCTATTTGAAATGACTGAAGACTGCCCCTCTCCAGTATTAGTTTCATTTTGACTTTATTTCCATCCAGGAATCTGTCATTTTCTTCTTTTTATAGCCAGAATGCTTTTTACCTATATCTCCAATACAGGTTCTAAAATCATTCAAATTCATGGGTCATCAGTGACCCTCAAACATGGAGAGATTATACTTGGGAAGAAAAGTAAAATTATTGATCTCTGCTTTTAAAAAAAGCCAAATATGAAGCAGCAATGCATAGAGTTATAAAGATGCATGTTAATCTTCATCATACCTGGTCTTGATTATTTGTGTTACAGCGCTACTTGGACAATGGATTTATTTCACATCAGTATATTTTCAATAATTAAAAAAGAGAAGACTATTCATTCATTCATTCACTAATTCCAACACACAAATATATTTTTTTTTTCCTGGAACATAAATGAAAATAGTCACTTATGTATTACAATTCATCAGTTCACAATACAAATAATAGTAACAATCCACCTCACTGCCGGGAATATTGTTAATTTTTAATAAGATAACATATACAAAAATATGCTTCTAAACTCCAAAGGACTATGTGGAATATTGGGGATTCTTATATTTTAAGAGCTGTCTTTTCCTAAAATAAATGTAAGACTACCAGTGCCAGCTACGTGATGTGCAGGACTTAGCACAAAATGAAAACATAGGAGCCTTCATTCAAAAATAAGGCAAACATTGTCATTAAAAATACTAAAATATAAAACATTTTTATTTCTTCGCTCATCTCTTGACTTGTCACTTTGGTTTTTTATTTGTTATTTAATGGTATTTTTCTTTGAATACAACGATACTTGTAGAGCGAGTATAGACCCTCACAGGTGCACAGGGGCCCCACGTTGTGACTCCTTGTTGGTATACACTTAGTACCTGGGTCAGAGCGAGCAAGCATGAGCAAGAGACGTACACCATTGAGTTCTCCGCCTAGAGTCTTCGGCACTGGCAGCCCAGGGTTAGGATGGACGCTGCTAGAGTGTCCTACCCCAAAATGTTGCTGGCTCTGTGCACCATTTCCCCATCTTCCGTGGGCCTGCACTAATGTCCTAGAGATGAAAGAAAGTGGGCCTACCTAACCACTATCCCCCTTGCTACTGTGCCTCTTCCTCCTTCAAGGAGGATGCCCAAGGATGGGTGGGCAGAGGAATGCAGGAGGCCAGGAGAGCCCTGTGCCACCAAGACTCTGGAAGCAGCCAGAACCTATCCTGCACAGACAGGGAGAGACAGGAGGCTGGATCATGTATGAGCAAAGCCACCCACGCAGGCAACCTCGTTCTATCAGATTTTATTCACAACATACAAATTCAGAGATAAATTAGAAAGAACTACTAAACAGCAACCATTGAATATTCAATTCTTATCTTTGGAATAGAGTTCTGTGCCAATGCACTGATCCCACACCTATGAAGCCATCCCTGATGGCTATCTCAAATGCATCATGTGAAAGCAACAGGAATGCTCTTTGCAGTGAAAGTCAGCTGGACTCTATGTATTGATCAATATAGTCAATTTCTCAAAAGTACATTTAAGATTCTAGGCCGGGGGCAGTGGCTCACGCCTGTAATCCCAGCACTTTGAGAGGCAGAGGCGGGTGGATCACCTGAGGTCAAGAGTTCGAGACCAGCCTGGCCAACATGGTGAACGCCCGTCTCTACTGAAAATATCAAAATTAGCCAGACGTGCTGGCAGGTGCCTGTAATCTCAGCCACTGGGGAGGCTGAGGCAGGAGAATCGCTTGAACCTGGGAGGTTGCAGTGAGCCAATATCTGGCCATTGCACTCTAGCCTAGGTGACAACAGCAAGACTCCATCACAAAAAAAAAAAAAAAAAGAAAAGAAAAGAAAGGGTTCTAGAGTAGTTACATTTACTTCAGTTTTAAAAAATAACTAATTAAAAGAACTTGGACAAGTCCATTATTTTTATATTGTTCTTTCTTAATGGATATCACCACTTCTATCCCTAATAGGAATCTCTTGTAGTTAGTGTAAAATGATAGAAATTGCAGCATTAAGGAAACTGTACTATAATGAAGTGAATTTTTTTAGCTATGGAAATGTTTGTAATTAAAAATAACTATACTAATAAACTATTAGAAGGAATATAATAAACTCTGTCACCGAGTTATCTATCGACTTAAAAGGGAATTTCTTATATTACAATAAAACTTTGATTAACAGTTTTAGTAATGACTATGCTCCAAGGTTATTTATTGCCTCCTCAAAATATTTTTAATCGTGTTTAATAGCATTTTAGTTTTTAAAATTATTTTGCTATGCATTGTAATTGCTTATGTAGCTTTCAAAAATGGATAATAGTTATATGGCATAACAATTACAAAATCTAGAATGTATCAAACTATTATTATTGAATATCTGTCGAATGTGAAGTGAGTTTTGAAATACATTAACCACATAAATCTAATAAAAATAAGTTAGCAAAATCTAATATGTGGTACAGTGACTGCTTTGTAAAAGACATTCCAAAAATATTTGATGTATATAAAAGGAAACAGAAAAATGTTAATCTGTAAAGACATTAAAATCAGGTAAATAAAAAAATATATAGATGGAGACCACTTAACAACTTTAAAAATGTTATTTTTTTCTAAACATTTAATAACACTAACTACAAGAATATTTTTCTATTACGAATTTAAAAATTCCATCCAATTCCCCAGAAAAGTTTAGAATAAACTAGCTCAATAAGAGGAGAGAAGGAAAAAAAAAAGATTTATAGAAAATGGTTTATAGAATGAAATAAAAGTAGGCTGGTAACGATGAAAGCTATTAATCAATTGAGAACTAGGCAAGGGAAAAACTGGAATGGCAGATCCTATTCACTTTATGGATCAAGTTACAATGTTTGGGAAGCATTCAAACAGCAATGGAAATTTATGGACAGACTTTAAGCAGGAAAGTTACGTATTTATTTTTGTGAAGTTACTCCAACTGCTTTTGGAAAGTGCATTAGAGTGGCTCAAAGGAAGAATTGAAAACACGATGGCTAAGTGAGTTTATTTTGCAGTAGTTTAGGAGATATGTTGGATTCTCTGATAAAGTAGTTAGTAAAAGAAATAGCAGGAGATTGGCTGAATCAATAAATGTTTTGAGTTAGAATTGCTGTCTGTTAATTTTGTGAAAGTAAAGCACCAGCAAAAAATGACTACTCGTGTATAGTATGATCAACTGAGTGTATGGAGGTGTTGTTGTCCTCTTATTGTTATTATTACTCTTATAATTATTTTAATTATGAAATATAATTGAATAGTGGAAAGAATATAAGATTCAGAATCTGACAAGTTAGCTCTGATTCCCTACTCTGTCATGTATTTTTATGTGATATTGAACAAGCCACCTAATTTCTGAGATGTAAATTCTTCATTAATCCAAAATATTAATCCATTTAACTTTTGAGCTAGTTTTGAAATTCACATATGTTTATAGGTTTTAAATAAATATCATTAAATTTTTGTGCAACTTTCCACAACCATAGGAAATGCCTATAAAAATAATGCCCATAAAAATAAAAATCAGTCCCTGGGAGGTGGAGGTTGCAGTGGGCCAAGATTGCACCACTGTACCCCAGCTTGGGCAACAAGAGTAGAACTCCGTCTCAAAAAAAAAAAAAAAAAAGAATTAAAAAATAAAAAAAAAAATAAATAAAAATTAGTCTTCACATATGCTTAAAAGAAAATAATATTGCGATTTTTCATTTCTCATCTTTTCTCCCATAACACAATTTTGATACATATCTCAAACATGAATGTCTTGGTATAAATACATATTTTCATGAGACATGAGAAAAGGTAGTCAAAAAATGATTTGGTTTGTGTTTTTCACATAATTTCATGCCCTATGCTACAATGAATTGTGGATAAAAATCATTAAAGTCTACTTCAAACTCATTGTACATGGCTCATAAAAAGTACTTACTGTTTGGATCTAATTCTCAGAATGATCATTCTGGTAATCCTAAATCTAATAGAAACTCAATAGCCAGCCCTAGTAAATAAGGCAATTAATAGTTGATAAATGAAGATCAGGCATTATTCTACTTTGAATTTTCAATCCATTGCTATAACCATACTCTAAAATTTATTATATTATAAATCACAATAAACTAGGTAGTCATTTGCCCCATGTGAATCAAGATTAATCTAAAGTATTATATGTTATCAAATAATATTCTTGTATATGTTTAAACATTTTACTAATGTAATATTTACTAGAGGGATGTTACCACAAATTTTCCTCATCTTTCTGATCCCCATGTAAATTTCTTAACACGTCCAAAATAATAGTGTTTATTTCCTCTAAATTCTTCCTCCATTGTTTCAAAATCAATTTAAAAACACCTCCATACACTCAGTTGATCATACTACACACAAGTAGTCATTTTTTGCTGGTGCTTTACTTTCACAAAATTAACAGACAGCAATTCTAACTCAAAACATTTATTGATTCAGCCAATCTCCTGCTATTTCTTTTACTAACTACTTTATCAGAGAATCCAACATATCTCCTAAACTACTGCAAAATAAACTCACTTAGCCATCGTGTTTTCAATTCTTCCTTTGAGCCACTCTAATGCACTTTCCAAAAGCAGTTGGAGTAACTTCACAAAAATAAATACGTAACTTTCCTGCTTAAAGTCTGTCCATAAATTTCCATTGCTGTTTGAATGCTTCCCAAACATTGTAACTTGATCCATAAAGTGAATAGGATCTGCCATTCCAGTTTTTCCCTTGCCTAGTTCTCAATTGATTAATAGCTTTCATCGTTACCAGCCTACTTTTATTTCATTCTATAAACCATTTTCTATAAATCTTTTTTTTTCCTTCTCTCCTCTTTCTTTCCCTCCTCCACTCAATGCTTGGTATAGTCTATTTTTGCTTTCTGGAATCTAATACACTACTCCAGCATTCCCCAACCTTTTTTGGCACCAGGGACTGGTTTTATGGAAGACAATTTTTCCATGGATGGTGAGTGGGTGGGATGATTTCTGGATGAAGCTGTTTCCACCTCAGATATCAGGCAAGCAGAGTTCACAACAGGGTTTGTGCTCCTAGGAAAATCTAATGCCACCACTGACCTGACAGGAGGCGGAGCTCAGGCAGTAATGCTGGTTCCTGCCGCTCACCTCCTGCTGTGCAGCCCAGTTCATAACAGGGCACGGACTGGTACCAGTCCCAGCCTACCAGCCTAGGTAGCCCCTTACAGCACTTACCTCAATTTGAATTTATATGTCAAACAAAGTGGCCATATCTTAAAATAGGTACTCTTGCCACAATGGCAACTAAAGATTCTATTTAGGTCAACATTTACCTTCACTGCCCATCATATAATCTGTTTGTTAAATATTTTTAAATAATTAAATGAAGCCTAACAGTGGGA
Organism: Homo sapiens; assembly: GCF_000001405.40. Lineage (NCBI taxonomy): Eukaryota > Metazoa > Chordata > Mammalia > Primates > Hominidae > Homo > Homo sapiens. The sequence continues at coordinate 86,628,786 of NC_000013.11, forward strand.
TGACCATATATTCATGGGGAACAATTTGAAATTATTGTGCCCAATTTCATTTTATTGAAGTTGAACAAATAAAAAACTCAGGTTTAAGTGAGTCACCTGGGTCGTGAAATTAATGTTACTGGGATATGTAACAATTAAACATTACTTTGCTTGAATTGAAACTGGTATAAATCACGATATTTTCATATTTTAACTCATAAAGTTCTTTAATTATTGTTTGTAATCAAGTCCCCACTAAATTACTAAATTTAACACACATTCGATATCACACAATTTCAAGCATAATATCCAACAATAAAATAACAATTTAAACATTAGTCGAATGAATACTTGAGTCTCAAAACACATATCGTGCAGAGTACTTTTCCCAAAATAACAATTTAGTAATCTTATATTGTTTCCAAATAATATTTTTCATTCCAGTAAAGCAAATTATATTATTCCATATAGTTCCAGATTTTGAAAACATCCTCACCACAAAGATTCCTTGTGTTACTTTTTATAGCTATGTCCATTTACCTCCTGCTCCCATTCCTCCTTTAGCCCTGGTAACAACGAATATTTTACTCCTTTATATAGTATTGTCCTTTGAAAAACGTTATAGAAATGGAATTAAAAATTGCAGGATTGACTTCTTCTCCCTACTCAGGAGACGGCTCATTCAGATTATTGTACGTATCAACAGTGTGTTCCATGTGAATGCCAAGTTATAGTACATAACATGGATGTACCAATGTATTCATCTGTTGAAGAACATCTGGATTAATTTCAGTTTTGACTACTATAAATAAATATGCTATAAATATTCGTATATAGGTTACTACGTGAACATAAGTCAGTCTTTCTCTAGGGTAAACACCCAGAAATGGTGTGATGTGGTCGTTGCATGTTTAACGTCATGAAGATCTGCTGTGCTGTGCTACAGAGGGGATGTACCATTGCATATCTCCACTAGCAATGTATGAATAATCCAGTTTCCCCCTCTTCTCACCATCAGTATGTGTAATTACTATTGTTCATTTTAGTTACTCTGTCATGATCTCTTATTTTACATTTTATTAATATTTCCTTAATTGGTAATCATGTTGAACATCTTTTCACAGGTTTATTTGTCATTTACGTATATTTTTTGGTGAAATGTCTGCAACTCATTACTTTCTCATTTTCTATCTTCCTAACAGAATTTTTCACAGTAAAAGTTAATCTTGATAGACTCCAATTTATGAAAATGTCCTTTTATAGAAAGTTTTTGGGTGTCAAGTCTAAGACCTCTTTGCCTAGCTTTAAATCCATTTTTTAATTTCATTTTAGTTTTAAGTTCTCATTTATATGTGATTCATTTTTGATTTATTTTATTTATAAGGTGCAAGACTTAGATTGAGCTTTATTCTGTCCCCTTCTGAATGTTCAATTGCTTGAGAGCCATTTATTGGAAAAGTTAACTTTTCTCTGTTGAATTGCCATGGAAAAGTTGATCTGAAGATAGAAATGATAGATCTTTCTCTCAAAAATTTGGGGAGAGAGGCAAGGAACAAAAACACCAAACTTCACCTACTGGTACCTGCACAATTGAACGTTTCTCTGAACTTCAGCTACCGGTCTGTACAGAATTGAACCTTTATCTGTACACTTGAATGTCTTTGACTCTACTCTGCACAGGAAGGTAAAGGGCACCCCTACATCAGTAGATAGCTGGACTGTTTATTGCGGTTGACTGTGCAGTTGATAGGGAACAACTGAAAACTGTGAATAAGTTCTTAGTGAGAGGCTCAGTCTTGGTGTCAACTTAGAAAAATGTGTAGCAAGAAATAACAAATTAGAGTAAAACTGCGTAAAATATTCTATCCTTCATCAAAACTATTTAATTATTCTACCATAGGGGTTACACTTTTAGTGCATGTTTTCAAAGCAAACTTAGAACGTGTGTGTGTGTGTGTGTGTGTGTGTGTGTGTGTGTGTGTGTGTCTTCTTTAGGACAAATAAATATAAACAAGGGATATAGCAGCATAGTTAAATCACTCCCTGTCATTACACCATAAGCACTATGAAAGTAAAATATGAGACTGATTTCCACTGAGTTCCTACTACCTGAGATAATGGCATATACTTGATGCATAAGGAATACATATTGGTATTTTTAAATTGTATTTATTTATTTTTTTAATGTGCAATGATCGGTACTCTGAAGTCTGAACATGTATTGTTGAAAGAATGAAATTAAATTATATATTTGGGAAAAAAGTGTTTCTTTTTTGCTTTTCTTACAATATAATTTATAACAATGCAAATAAAACCCTTGGTTGACTATTAAACATAGATTAGTTCTTAAAAGACCTTTCAGATTCCTGCTTGGAATATTTCTGCTTCTTCTTATTTTGACACAGTTCATATTGCATAAACTCCCAAAGCAGAATTATATTTTTTAAACTTTCAAGATTGAATGCATAAAAAAATTATCATAATAAAGCTCTATTTTAGATGACTATAACTAATGATATTCAATAGAAGAATATATATATTTTTCTTGATTTCAAAGCACCTTCAAAAATGTTATTTAGGTGTTTTTAAAAATTATAATTTCTTGAACATCTGATGATTAGATGGGGAAAAATTTGTCAGTTAACTCCCTGTTTTCTATTTTCTCATTTTGTTTCTATTTTTTTGCACTACGAAGCAACTGCAAAGCACCCCTTAACACCTTTGAACACATGCTATTATTTTGAGTCACAAAAATATTAGGTTGTTGCAAACGTAATTGCAGTTTTTGCCATTTTTAGTTATATTGTTTTCTTTTTTTTTTTTTTTTTTTTTTGAGACTGTGTCTCGCTCTGTCGCCCAGGCTAGAGTGCAGGGGCACGAACTTGGCTCACTTCAACCTCCACAGGTTCAATCACTTGAACCTCCTGGGTTCAAGCGATTCTCTTGTCTTAGCGCCACAAGTAGCTGGGAGTACAGGCGTGCACCACCACACCCGGCTAGTTTTTGTATTTTTTAATAGAAGCGGGGTTTTGCCATGGTGGCCAGGCTGGTCTCAAACTCCTGACCTCAGGTTATCCACCTGCCTCGGCCTCCCAAAGTGCTGGGATTACAAGCGTAAGCCACCACACCCGACCTATATTGTGTTTTAATAGAATAATATTTCATTAGCATTAGATATGTTCCAAACAAAAAAATAATTCAACTACAATAAATTAATTGGGGTTGAAAATTAGCTAAATTTCAAGTATAGTGAAGTAGTATAGCTTTAATACAAACTGAGTAATTTTGAATACTTTTACTTAGTAGTGAAGTGATCAATCAAGGAAAATATCAGAAAAATATAGTCTTCCAAATATTGAATATAAACTTTCGGTTTAAATTATCATAGTGCACTGGGTTTAGGGCAGCTGCTTCCAACAGTTCTAAAATATACCCCAAGAAGTGCTAAAAAGTAGTGGATCTGAGTTTTTCCCTAATGAAAATAATATGGAATTTTTTCCCTCAAGGGATGTTAACACACAAAGACATGCACATAGATAGATGATAGATAGATTAGATAGATAGATAGATAGATAGATAGATAGATAGATAGATAGATAGACAAAAGACGAGGCAAGCAATTAAACTTGGTGACAATGGTAAAGTCTATTAACATCCCTAGGGTTATACTAATTTAGCAGGGGCTATACAACATTCATATCACTGGGAATGTCCTTTGGTTTTTAGTCTCAGTGGAATCTAAGACATCATGGTTCCCAAACATGGGCTTCTCCACTTTTTCCTCCTGAAACCAACGCAATAGGTGGGCTTCAGTCTGAGCTAAGATCCCAAAGGTATAGAATCCACTATGAATTTTCCTTTGTTTTCTGAGCTCCTTCCACACCCTCCAATCAATACCCAGCACTTCAGCCAATGTTTGCCTAATTTAAAATTCTTGTGACTGCATGCACTATTTCCCATTACATTTTCTGTTATTTATTTTTTGGCATAAAAAGAAAGTTGTTTCTCTTGCATTTACCAATTATTTTGCCAAATTTTGGTAATTATTACTAATTTTATTTTTGTTGTAGTTGATTTCCCTGGACATTTTAGAAGTTCAAACTATAAACATTGTGAGATAATAATTTTTATGCTGATATCTTTTTAGTGATTTAATGTTAATGAAGAGTACCGCCAAAGGAAGTTGAGTATTACCTGTGATTGCAAGCATTCTTGTCTTTTCTTCTAACTTTAATTACATTCTTAGTATTTAAGCTCCATCACACGTGCAGTGGGTATCTAGTCCACTTAGACAAATGTGTAATTTAATTTAATTTTTAATTTTTATATCTGGATACATGAAAATAGTTATCTATTGCTTTGAGGTAACTATTAGGAAACTAATATATCTTTGCTTATTTTTTCCTTTGTCTCTTTAAATCAAGGAAATATGTTACAATCTATACAACTAAACCATCATTGCATTTCTGGAATGTACCCTAGTTTGTCAATGTATTTATTGGAAATCTTAATAGCAGGTAACTCTGACAATTAATTTGAGCCATAATGAACTTAATATAATCTATTATGCATTTATTGGAATTTCTGGTAGGGCTAGAGAATGAAACTGTTTGTTTTTAATTCAGTAACGGGGCAGCTAGGGGAAACACCTAACTAGACTAATGTACTCTGTGGTAGGAAAGCATTCCTATTGTTAATGGTTTCTTTCTGACACAATGCTAGGGACTGGATAGTAGTTCCTTTGCCACACGTGATCCAAGATCACGAAATACCACTAAGGCATAAAACAATGACCCATTTGTGCCCACTAATTCACAGTGCTTACTTTCATCCTTCTTGTCTTTCTCTTTTATTTCTGCTTGGCAAAACCTATGTCATGTGAATTCAAGCTGCAAGGGACTTACTAAATATAGTTATATGGAATTAGTACTAAGTGAGCCAATCTGCAGTAATCAGCAATAGGCCAAACATTTGTTTCTGAAACCCCCATAGACAGCCTTCTTCTAACTTACAATTTGCAACTACAGACATATCAACCAACAGCATGCTTCCATGTAGCATAATATTTCTTTCTTTCAAATAATTATAATCACATTAGCCACTTAAGACTGAAAATCCAAGTATCATCAGTCACTAAATCCATCTTTAGGCAATGTTCACATCCCATCTATTAAAAATCACAACCTAGCCTGTAATCACTGAGCTAAATTACAATCTTCACCCACAAGCCCTATCATGAAGAGCTGGTGAAATGGAGCAGGGAAAATGCTAAATATATGATCGCATACTAAAACAAAGGAGTCTATTAAGGAAAACATGGGCAAATATTATAATTCTTGTTTATAAAACTAGCCGCAAAGATATAGTTACTAATTACAATTTCTCTTGTCATTCAACATCTTCATCAGGGATATTTTTTACTTCATGAATGACTCATTTTTTTATTATTGAAAATAATTTCTTTTGGGGTTTGACCTAATTTTGGTTTTATCCTATGATGGAGTAGTAAAAAAAAAAGCTTATATTCTTTCATACAATACAGTATTATTTTTGTTTTTAATCACCTTCAGTTCATGCAACTCAAAAATAATTTCCTCTCTTTCTCTCTTCTATTTATTTCTATCATCCTTCCTGCTCTTTTGTTCTTCTGTTCCAACAGCAAAACATTCTTTCTCTTTTACTTATGCTCCATTTGGCCAGTGGCATGAGGATTACAAATAATGTTCAAATTGCAATCCAAATATTCCATTAAACAGATCCATTTGTGTATCCCTTGGCAAATTCAATTCCTCACTGGGTAGAAGTCACAAACTGAATGCAGTTATGTTACCAACAAAGTTAAGAGACCATCAAGTACTTTCTTAGTCTTTGTAACATAAGATATCTATATTTGACTTTTACTTTTTGAGAAGACATCCTGATACAGTCTAGAAAAGCAGACAAAAGTTAGATTATGGGGGTGGCATGACATTAAATATAATGAAGTGTACATCTTAACTTCTAGGGAAAGGTATTTTAGAAAGGCACCCTATGTGCTTGTACTTTATCTCATATTTCCTCTCTAGCAAGTTCTACAAAACCATTTTATTACTTAGTGGATCAGCATGATTTCCTCAAAAATCCCTATGAATAAGTTATAGAACATATCCAGAAAGGCAAAGCATTAACACAAAACCATTGAGCTATACTTTCTGAACTGTTAGGAAAAATTAAATTTTATTTTCATCTGAAAAGGCGTTTGATAGGCAATAGCTAGAAGCCAGGGTCCAAGTGACTGTTTTGCTTTTCTCCAGCAAAAAGAACATAACTAGAACAGCAACAGTGCAGTTGTATACACCATCTGATTCAGATTACAATAATGCCTTGCCAGAACCTAAGAACCATCTGATATCAGAACAGGCCAATTTGGGCAAAGTAATTAAGTAAGAGATTAAAAACTGCCACTCCTGAATCCTTTAAGTTTTTAATGGTGATTCTTACTTTTATTGGCAGTTTCCCCAGGAATATGGTGCTACTTTCACGGCAGCAAAGATTTGGATGCAATCCTATTGGAGCTAACGTCGTGAAAACAGTGTCTGGTAAGTATACACCTATTCATAAATTGTCAATAACCTATATCTATTTACCTGATTTAGTTTTGTGAGTGGAAAAGTTGAAAAAATTGAAGATTTTAGAGTATAAGGCTTGAAGTTTTGTTTTACTTGGTCATTAGTTTTCTATGTTAGGCTGAGATTACACATATTAGGAATATATGTATTCAAATACAGCTATTGTGATTCAGCAACTCTCAACAACAGAATAAACAGAATCAGATTCTTAATTACAAAAACTCAGTGAGTTTAAGTGATTAAAGATATTGTGGAGTAGTCATTGAATATGCTGTTATATAGCCAGCCCTTGAGTAGAAAATTTAAGCCTAGAGAATATAGTTCTTTTCCTTTACTCTGCAGCAGAGTTAGAAGCTGTTAGTTCATTCTGCAGTAGTTGTATTCCTCATGCTCTGCTGTTAATTTAGCCTATTTCAGGACCAACTCAGTCATCCACCTAAAGTAAATCAAGAGCACTTTTTTTCTCTCAACTTTTATTTTAGATTCATAGTGCACACTTGCAGGTTTGTTACAAAGGTATAGTGTGTGATGCTGAGGTTTGTGGTATACTTGAACTCATGATGCGGGAGGCGAGTAGAGTGCCAAATAGGTAGTTTTTCTACCCTTTCCCCATCTTTCTCACCCTTTTGTAGTCTCCAGTGTCTATTGTTGCCATCTCTATGTCCATGTGTACCCAGTGTTTAACTCCCACTTGTAAGTGAGAACATGCAGTATTTGGTTTTATGTTCCTGAGTTAATTTGCTCTGAATAGTGGCCTCCAGTGCATCCATGTTGCTGTAAAGGATGTGATTTCATTCTTTTTTATGGCTGCATAGTATTCTATGGTGTGTATATACCACATTTTATTTATCCAATCCTCCACTGATGCACACCTAGGTGGATTCCACGTCTGCCATTGTGAATAGTGCTGCGATCTTTTTGCATGGGTCTTTTGCAAGTGCATGGGTCTTTTTGGTCTTTTGGTTCAAAATAAATTTATTTTGAACAATTTATTTATTTGGGTATATACCCTGTAATGGGATTGCTGGGTAGGATGGTCATTCTCTTTTTAGTTCTTAGAGATATCTCCAAATTGCTTTCCAAAGTGGCTGAACCAGTTTATCTTCCTACCAACAGTATAAAAGCATCCCCTTTACTTGCAGGCTCACCAATATCTGTTATTGTTTGACTTTTTTATAATGGCCCTTCTGACTGGTGTGAGCTGGTATCTTATTTTGATTTTAATTTGCATTTCTCTGATGATGATTAGTGATTATGAGAATTTTTCTTATATTCGTTCACTGCTCTTTGTGTTGCATGTCTTCTTTGAGAAGTGCTTGTTCATGTCCTTTGCCAAACTTTTTTTTTTTTTTTTTTTTTTTTTTTTTTTTTGAGATGGAGTCTTTCTCTGTTGTCCTGGCTGGGGTGCAGTGGCACAATCTCGGCTCACTGCAACCTCCACCTCCCTGATTAAAGCAATTCCCCTGCCTCAGCCTCCTCAGTAGCTGGGAATACAGGTGCATGCCACCATGTCTGACTAATATTTTTTTTATTTTTAGTAGAGAAAGGGTTTCACCATATTGGCCAGACTGGTCTAGAACGCCTGACCTCAGGCAATCTGCCCGACTGGGCCTTCCAAAGTTCTGGGATTACAGGCATGAGGCACCATGCCCCGCCTTGCCAACTTTTTAATAGGATTATTTGTTTTTTGCTTGTTGACTTCTTTAGGTTCCTTATAAATTCTGGATTAGATCTTTGTTGGATGCATATGTTTTCTTCCATTTCTCTGGGTTGTCTGTTTACACTATTAATAGTTTCTTTTGCTGTGCAGAAGCTCTTTAGTTTAACTAGATTCCACTTGTCAATTTTTGTTTTCATTGCTATTTCTTTTGATGACTTAGCCATAAATTCTTTGCTATGACAGGAGCACTTATTTTCTTACTACTATGCACCACAATATCTCCCTATTCTAATGGTAACTATATTATTAATATTGTTGTCTCTCAAGATGTGCAGCTGATAGGTTCTAGGACCCCCCAGGGATATCAAAACCTGCATTCTCAAGTCCTGAAGTCAGTCCTGCTGAACCTTCAGATAAGAAAAGTTGACCCACTGTACAGGTCTTTTCCTCCACATTGGGTGCTATGGCCAGGCATATTTCTTGGGCTAACCCTTGTTCACATTCTTTTACCCTACTACCAGAAAATATACACATACCTGACTTTTCTTTGGCATGCAAAGAACGTGGAAGGACCCAGATTCCTATATACCTCCCATAAAATAAGTGTGTTCAGATGCTAAGCAGAGCAAAACGAGCAGTGAGTCATTAACATCAACCATCTTCATCAGCCTGACACCTACATTCCTCCTATTCAATTGTTATTTGAGAGTCCTACTTCTTAAAAGGTAGAAGCTACAAAAAAATCCTCCTAAATTAATCTGGAAAATATGTACTAAATCTCAACTTTTCTCGACTGCGTCTGAGAAACAAAACAGCCAGGAGAGCCAAATTACAAGAGGGACAAGCACCCTCACAGAGGGACAAAAATATAAAAACTTTCAAAAGAGGATGGAAATAAAAGATGGCTACTGTACAAATGCATAAGAAAAGCCAATTATGGGTTATCATACAAGTTCACCATAATTTGAGGTACCAGATGTAATGAGCATTGGCAATTACTACTTTTAAGAGTTAGGAAAATCTAAATATTTGAATGGGTAGAACCAGTTGGTAGCTCACTTATTACACTGTGTATATCATAGTCTTGATCCAGTCATGATTTTTTCTAATTTCTGAACATTCATTCATATTAACAAATACATTGTGAAAACTAAAATTGTTTATGATTCTCAATTGTAAGACAAAATATTTCTGAGAGAAAAAGTTTTTAGGTATAAATACTAGTTTATCTTCATTTACAAATATGAATAAGTTCAGATGAACAAGTTAAATTTGTAGTAAATTATATAAATTAAAATATGCAAATTATGTTTATTGTCAAATTATCATTCAAGATAATTATTCAAGTAATTATTTCCAATAAACATTTTTGTCTCTTTAAGGATTTATTTGTTCCATGGGAAATGATTAACTAATAGCCTCAGTGAAGGTAATATTTCTTTGGGTAATATATGTGTCTTCTCTTCTCATCCAAGCTATACCTTCTCGTACAATTGCATGTTTGTCCAGGGACATTTAGTCTAGAGAAACAATAGAGGGCAAGGAACTTCCCCAATGTTGGAAAAGATAAAATTGATGATTTTACAAATTTATAATCTAATTTTAAGTTACGCTATCAAGTTTGGAAAATAATTAGCTAGTTATATTAAATGTAAAAATACATTGAAGTTTTAGAAAAACTTGTTGTCCTTGAAGTTGCCTTTCAGACCTTTTCTAGAAAAAAATAAAATAGTTTCCCCAGGAACCCAGTGTTTATCTTAACTCAACTACTTATTCTCCAAACTTAGGGATAGGTAAAGATTCAAGTCTAACGGAAATGTTACCAGATGCACATTTTTAAATTTACTTATGTAGAACTAAAATGAAATAAATATTTTGCTTTATTCCTAGGAAGTATTTAGCCTTTATCCTGGTATATTTTTCAATGAATAAGATAACATTGTTATTCTAAATGAAATAACCTTATTGCTTAAATTCAAGAGAGTTTAACCATTGAGAAGTTCTAACTTATTGTGCATTATTAAATAACTTATATATACTTATATACATATGCATACACATATATCCATACATATGTGTGTCTGAATAAAATATCTGTTTATATGTCTATGCACACATATATATGTATTTACAAACATGCATATGTATTATTATTATAGCCAAAGAAAAGGAAATTTAACAATTTGTAGAAGATAATTTTAATCATTTATTACTGCTATAAAAATAACTTTTCTCTCTAGTAATACATTTCTTAAATGGGTGCTCTAAATATTCTATTTAAAATTTGTAGATATATGTGTCAATAAAATTTTAAGTAAAAATGTACATAAGTTCACACTCAAAGTTTCAAATACTTCATAATTAGTTTTAACAATTTGTATGTAAAAAGCATTATGGCATTATGGTAGCTTACTTAGAATAATATAAGTGACTGAGTTTTTTGTTTGTCTGTTTTGTTTTGTTTTGTTTTGTTTCTGCAGAAGTTCAGCGCTCTCTTTGGTAAGGAACATTTATAAGAAGCAAACTTTGAAATGTACGAGGAGAGGGAAGTGATTTTTGAGATGCCTGTAAGTGATGCAGCCATACTATCTTTGGGGGAAAAGTGTTAGGTGCTTCCATATGGATAAAATATTTAATGCTTTAAACATTTATCTTAGCTCATATATGCTGCGTGAGAAATATGCTTGTTGAATAAACTCCTTTCTATTTTTGTCAGTCGCTTTTAAGCAAATTTATAGAAAGAGCTTGACTGTCAACTTTAATATTTCATTTTTCCAAGATAGGCTTCCATAGTATGAAATGTTGTTAAGATACATAGCTCTAAGTTTTCTTTCTGGGATCAGATAGGGATAAAGATAAAGAACTTAACATAAGTGTATCTGCTGTAAACTGCTGATTCCCTTTTAACAGCGACTTGACAGGACATGCTAAGATCAAGTGAAGGACTGAACTGGGACAAGGAAATAAAGGAAACAGGAACATTTCAACAAATGCTTAAGAAATTAATAGAAACATTGAAAGTTGTCGAGAATACATAGAGTACAAATAGATTTATTATGCATAAACTACATATACCTTATTTTATTTTATTTTATTTTAGTCTCTCGAATTCATAAATTTGGAGTTACCCTAATCAATATATTATTAAAGATAATGTTTCTGTCCTACTTCATGTTATATTCTATTTGCATCATATGCTTTCTACTAAATATTCTTTGCAATTCACACCTTCATCATCTGAAAAGCTGTCTTCATTTTACCAAACTGTGATTAGCAATTACATTAAATCCATAGTTGTTTCATAAAAAATGGCTTAACGTTCCCATTTTTGTCATTGCCTTTTTTGTTTGTTGTACTTTATAGTTAATATGTTGGAATTGAAGAAATGTATCTGTGTTCAATTCATTCCTGCAATATGTCTGAAAGTTACCACTTTCTCCTCTGGGATTTTCATTGTGTCAAATATTCTACAACACTGATATTTTATGAGAAAAGAATAACTCTAGCTAGATACATGACAAAGAGTCTCCAAATCTAGACCCCTACATATAAATTATTGACTCAGATAATATATAATTCCTGTCACTCTGAAAGAAAAAGATAATATGTGAATGCATATGCATACATATAATATGTATATATATAATATGTATGCATATGCATTCACATATTATCTTTTTATATTAGCTATCATAGATATTATTTTTAACCTTTCTCAAGAGGAATTATTTTAATAGTGTCCAACTAAAACCCCAGAATATGGAGTGATCATGTTTACAAGGCAATTGTAGAAGATGACCTCTGTGCTTGATGTCTGAGACATAATGACTATACAAGGTTTACCCAGGAAACTCAACTGCTTTGGTTCCAAGCTCTCATCTTGAGACCTGTTAACATCTCCAGTGAGCCTGGACTGTCGGCTGGCCATGAAAAACTTGTCTCACATTAGCCACTTAAAATGCCCCCTCTTTTCAACTGCATCCCTTCGTTTCTGCTTTTTTCAGGTAGAAACTGCTTCCCTCAGTCAATTTTCTCCTCTACATGTACTAAGAAGGAAACATTACATAAACATGTTTCTTACAGAATTTAACAAAAGCATGCAGTGTGCTTGAACATTTGCATAGAATTTGTCCATTATATAACCTTAATATACAATCGATTCTTATCCCCCCAACCTTTTGTGGCTCCTTGGTTCATATTCGGATCAAGCAGAAGGTTCCATAAATATTATTAATAAAGTGACTAGTTCTTTTTTATTTTTGTATTACCTTGCAGTGTGTAAATTATTTTCATGCAAAATGACTTATTTCTCTGGAAAACTATATAAATTGTTTAGAGCAGGAATTACTGGTATTTACTTTTACATATTAGGCCACGTTAAGACTTAGATGTTTACTGGATTACCCAAGTTTCCCAGTACAGAAATAAAAGGAATTCATAATTCTATTTTCTAATTACATTTTCTACCATGAGTAGAATTAATAATCGTGTGCATGATTTGGGATTAGTATGGCTCCTAACACATGTAATTGTTTTTATGACTGTGATTATATTCACCAGCATTACTGTTACTGTTATTGTGATTCTTGTAAAATGCAAAGTTTGCTTGAATAATGATTGTATATGACAGTAGACTATACATCGTCTTTTCTTTCTTACCTCATAGTATCAACTGCTTATGGATTATTCATATGCACATTTCTAATATATTATATATTACATCATGTTATCTGTACATCACAAGTAACAAAAAATAATTATTGTCAACTACTTACTAGGTACCAAGGATTCTAATTGTTATTATTCCCTAACTAAACTTTTAAAAAATGCTAAATTACAAAACTTCAGGAGGAGTTACCAGGCAGCGGGTAGCAAGTATATGTTTTTCAGTTTTCTTGGAGGTACAATTGAAAAAGAGATAGAAAAGTTGAATTTCTTTAGTTTATTTTTCTTTGGCCTTGTGCATGAATGTTATAGGTAAAAAGGGTGCAATATTTTTAATAACTATCTCAGGTCAAAGCACAGTAAACACAATATTTTATGTTAACTATATATTCAATTATTGGAGGTTTTTAGAAATCACATTAAAAGTATATTTTTTCTCTTTTTCTTTCTTAACCGTACATGTATTCCTAACCAGTTCGAACATTAAATCCTGTTAGATAGAAACTCCTACACTAATGAATGTTTTGTTTTTAGAATAACAGGTCAAGAATTTTGCACCATAGTAGTAAAGCTATGGGTGTTCATTAAAAAAAGGGCAGACAGTGTCACAGACATGAGTACAGATTGGATTTATCTTGAGCCTCTGGCAAATCATGAAAAGCCATGAAATGCTCTTAGATCCTAGATGAAAGGCAATATGAAGTGAAAATAGATGCTTTGAAAATGAATCTTAGTTTGCATTATACTTGTCCAGTTTTAAAAACATTTCTGAAAAAAAGCAAAAATGATTAAATACATATTTTACAAGTATATTTTTATCTTTTTTTACTAATGAAATCATAAAACATAAAAATGTAAATTGATTACTTTCATTTTTCCCTTCCCAGCTATATAAGTGGCTTTGTTCCAACTATCTCCAAGATTTTCCTACTTATTAAAATATAGTAAAAATCTTTACATTGTGATAGCAATTTGGAGGTTAGTCAGTCAGGATACTGTCTCAATAACACATGAAGTTAGTGAAACATATCTAATGCCTAAGTAATATTCCTTTTTTATCCACCTTCTACCTAGAAAGATGACTAAGAATACTGTCAAGAACAATTAAGTTTCTAAGACACATTCAGACATGGAAGCAACAATCAAATTATATTCAATTAGCCCAAAGGAACCAACCCACAATTCACATTAATCTCTCTTTCCAATTTTAAATCTTATTATTGAACTTGAGTACTTTTAACATTAGAGTGTAGAATCACTTATGCTAAATTCTGCTCCACCGAGTAGTAGCAAAAGAGAGGGGATACTACGAAGTATAATGGAGATATTGCCAAGTACATGCAAATTGATCTTCATTCTCTGTTACTGGCAAAGAAAATGTTGGCAATATCTTTTTTAAAAGTATCTTAAATTTGTATAATGGTTCAGTTATATTCACAATGTCTGAAACCACCAGAATTATAAGAGAAAAGATGAATTCAGTAGAAGATAATGCACTTTGAATCCCCAATTTTTAATATCCTTTATGACTAGGTGTAGACGGCTGTTATTGACATATTATATCTCTTTTACCCATGCATATTTTAGTCCTTAGTTGAGGCTATGATTTTCCTTTCTCCTTCTGGCATCCTGAGCTAATTTTGTTAAAACACTTAGGCCGACAATTGGGAAGCAATTCACGTGTACTACTAGCATTTCTCGACATATGACTCTTCCAATCAGAAGGCTTCCTTCCAGCAATTATGAGACTGGGAAGTTCACACATATAACGTATCAATTTTAGTTATACGTCAAGATGCAGAACACACACACACACACACACACACACACACACACAAACAGTAAAAAAACAGTATGTGGAATTAGCCCAGATGACCTCAGCCTCAAGTTCTCCTTAACTGCACTTCCCTACTGTGAGCCCTGCACAAATGCTATTAGCTTAGTTTAGTTGCCTCTTTTTTCCATAGTCCTGATTTCTGTGCTCATATCCAGTGGTGTCATATGTTTGAGTCTGCCTCTCCTTGAAATTACTCAGCATACTTAGATAAGTTTTTATGACTTTCTGTCTTCCTCAGGCGGAGGGAAACCTCAGCCAAAGACCTTATAACTGCCGTTGTCCTTGAAGAGGCTGAAATGAAGATAGAGGGAGAAGAAGGGTGTATTTGTCCACTTTCACACTGCTATAAAGATACTACCTGAGACTGGTAATGTATAAAGAAGAGAAGTTTAATTGACTCACAGTTCCACATGGCTGGGGAGGCCTCAGGAAACTTACAATCATGGCAGAAGGTGAAGGAAGCAAGGACCTTCTTCACATGGAGGCAGGAGAGAGAACTGTGAGCAGGAGAAATGCCAGGTGCTTATAAAACCATCACCTCTCATTAGAACTCACTATCACGAGAACAGTATGGGGGAAACCGCCATCATGATTCAATCACCTCCCATCTGGTTTCTCCTTCAACACCTGGGAATTACAATTCAAGATGAGATTTGAGTGGGGACACAAGCCCAACCATATCAGAGGGATTGGTAGGAGTATGGAGGAAGAGACTAGCTCCAAAATCCTCAACAATCATTTAGATGTGCTTTTGGTAGCAACTGGTTTAGTGGAGGCTCATGATTCAACCAAAGAAACTTTCAATTATTTTTGACCTGCCATTCACTTTTTATCAGGTGTGAGGTATTCATGGCAGTCACTCTATTTCAGCATTGGGAATTTTGTGAAACTTTTGTAAACAGTTATAGCTACATTACTTTCTGGCTGGAACCACAAGTTTGTGCTCTGTAATTTATATAAACTTAGCTCACACTGCAGAAACTTTACCAATGACTGCAAATTGGGGGCATTTGCAGCCCCATTAACATGAAAGTATTTCTTTGCTTCTTGCCTAGTGACAATATAATGACTTGGGAACTTTTTCATGGCTGAAGGTCATCAAGATTTTACCTAGATGTCTTTGCATCAGTTTCTCATTATTTAGTGTGTCAATTTAATCAGCATAGTAAACCTAGGCTGGGGCAACAAGATCTCAGTTACTAGTCCATACCACCATCTATATTTTCCTACAAAAATTTGTTTGTCTCAGGAAATCTTCCTGAGAAGATGTAGCAGCTAGGTCCCACTGGGATGAACAAACAAACAATCTCTGAGATGTTTACTATTGTCTTCTAGTGCTTAGTTTAGCACTAGATGGACTGTAGGTGTGATAAACTGTAGGAAGGATTACTTAATGAGACTTCTCAGCTGTCGCAATTTTCATTAACTTGCATTACACATTATGCTCCCTCATTTGCAAAACAAAGAATCCAAAGTTCTAATAATTTGCCTGGTTTCTTCCCAGAGCAATCATGAAGTTTCATCTTGTTGCAAGCAGTGTACATGGATGTTTGTAATTTTGTCTGAAAAAGGATCAGAAACTACTTCCAGCTTAGGACATATTTTAAAACTCTGTGGCCGAAATAGGTGGACCTGAGATTGAACACCAAATTATCAAGAAAGGCTTCCAATCCTGCATAGGTTTAAAACAACCAGAGCACCATTTTGGCAACATCTGCTATCGAATCTGCTTTCCAGTAATTTGCCAGCACCCACCTCCTCAATTCTTCCTCATTAGAATACAATAAATTAGAGGACAACTTATTACCTGATTGAGTATACGATTTAACAAACATGTTCTTTACCTGTTTCCCTGGTCTTCCCTCAAATCCCATTACTTGGCCTGTGTATCCTCAAACTTCCTCTTCTGGAAGCCATATTTCTTTCAGGATCTCATCATTGTCACCAAAACTGGCAAGGACTGTGAAGGGTCTGAGGTTTTATTTATTTATTTATTTATTTATTTTCAAAATTCTCTTTTTTATTACTTTTCTCAGATACCTGTTGTTACTGCATGCCTGCCTATTCCTTTTTTTTTTTTTAATTATTATACTTTAAGTTTTAGGGTACATGTGCACAATGTGCAGGTTAGTTACATATGTATACATGTGCCATGCTGGTGTGCTGCACCCATTAACTCGTCATTTAGCATTAGGTATATCTCCTAAAGCTATCCCTCCCCCCTCCCCCCACCCCACAACGGTCCCCAAAGTGTGATGTTCCCCTTCCTGTGTCCATGTGTTCTCATTGTTCAATTCCCACCTATGAGTGAGAATATGCGGTGTTTGGTTTTTTGTTCTTGTGATAGTCTACAGAAAATGATGATTTCCAATTTCATCCATGTTCCTACAAAGGACATGAACTCATCCTTTTTCATGGCTGCATAGTATTCCATGGTGTATCTGTGCCACATTTTCTTAATCCAGTCTATCATTGTTAGACATTTGGGTTGGTTCCAAGTCTTTGCTATTGTGAATAGTGCCGCAATAAACATATGTGTGCATGAATTTTATAGCAGCATGATTTATAGTCCTTTGGGTATATACCCAGTAATGGGATGGCTGGGTCAAATGATATTTCTAGTTCTAGATCCCTGAGGAATCGCCACACTGACTTCCACAAGGGTCGAACTAGTTTATACAGTCCCATCAACAGTGTAAAAGTGCTCCTATTTCTCCACATCCTCTCCAGCACCTGTTGTTTCCTGACTTTTTAATGATTGCCATTCTAACTGGTGTGAGATGGTATCTCACTGTGGTTTTGATTTGCATTTCTCTGATGGCCAGTGATGGCAACCATTTTTTCATGTGTTTTTTGGCTGCATAAATGTCTTCTTTTGAGAAGTGTCTGTTCGCGTCCTTCGTCCACTTTTTGATGGGGTTGCTTTTTTCTTGTAAATTTGTTTCAGTTCATTGTAGATTCTGGATATCAGCCCTTTGTCAGATGGGTAGGTTGCGAACATTTTCTCCCATTTTGTAGGTTGCCTGTTCACTCTGATGATAGTTTCTTTTGCTGTGTAGAAGCTCTTTAGTTTAATCAGATCTCATTTGTCAATTTTGGCTTTGGTTGCCATTGCTTTTGGTGTTTTAGACATGAAGTCCTTACCCATGCCTATGTCCTGAATGGTAATGCCTAGGTTTTCTTCTAGGATTTTTATGGTTTTAGGTCTAATGTTTAAGTCTTTAATCCATCTTGAATTAATTTTTTATAAGGTGTAAGGAAGGGATCCAGTTTCAGCTTTCTACATATGGCTAGCCAGTTTTCCCAGCACCATTTATTAAATAGGGAATCCTTTCCCCATTGCTTGTTTTTCTCAGATTTGTCAAAGATCAGATAGTTGTAGATATGCGACATTATTTCTGAGGGCTCTGTTCTGTTCCATTGATCTATATCTCTGTTTTGGTACCAGTACCATGCTGTTTTGGTTACTGTAGCCTTGTAGTATAGTTTGAAGTCAGGTAGCATGATGCCTTCAGCTTTGTTCTCTTGGCTTAGGATTGACTTGGTGATGCGGGCTCTTTTTTGGTTCCATATGAACTTTAAAGTAGTTTTTTCCAATTCTGTGAAGAAAGTCATTGGTAGCTTGATGGGGATGGCATTGAATATAATAAATTACCTTGGGCAGTATGGCCATTTTCACTATATTGATTCTTCCTACCCATGAGCATTGAATGTTCTTCCATTTGTTTGTATCCTCTTTTATTTCATTGAGCAGTGGTTTGTAGTTCTCCTTGAAGAGGTCCTTCACGTCCCTTGTAAGGTGGATTTCTAGGTATTTTATTCTCTTTGAAGCAATTGTGAATGGGATTTCACTCATGATTTGGCTCTCTGTTTGTCTGTTATTGGTGTATAAGAATGCTTGTGATTTTTGTACATTGATTTTGTATCCTGAGACTTTGCTGAAGTTGCTTATCAGCTTAAGGAGATTTTGGGCTGAGACAATGGGGTTTTCTAGATATATAATCATGTCATCTGCAACCAGGGACAATGTGACTTCCTCTTTTCCTAATTGAATACAATTTATTTCCTTCTCCTGCCTAATTGCCCTGGCCAGAACTTCCAACACTATGTTGAATAGGAGTGGTGAGAGAGGGCATCCCTGTCTTGTGCCAGTTTTCAAAGGGAATGCTTCCAGTTTTTGCCCATTCAGTATGATATTGGCTGAGGGTCTGTCATAGATAGCTCTTATTATTTTGAGATACGTCCCATCAATACCTAATTTATTGAGAGTTTTTAGCATGAAGAGTTGTTGAATTTTGTCAAAGGCCTTTTCTGCATCTATTGAGATAATCATGTGGTTTTTGTCTTTGGTTCTGTTTATATGCTGGATTACATTTATTGATTTGCATATATTGAACCAGCCTTGCATCCCAGGGATGAAGCCCACTTGATCATGGTGGATAAGCTTTTTGATGTGCTGCTGGATTTGGTTTGCCAGTATTTTATTGAGGATTTTTCCATCAATGTTCATCAAGGATATTGGTCTAAAATTCTCTTTTTTGGTTGTGTCTCTGCCCAGCTTTGGTATCAGGATGATGCTGGCCTCATAAAATGAGTTAGGGAGGATTCCTTCTTTTTCTATTGATTGGAATAGTTTCAGAAGGAATGGTACCAGTTCCTCCTTGTGTCTCTGGTAGAATTTGGCTGTGAATCCATCTGGTCCTGGACTCTTTTTGGTTGGTAAGCTATTGATTATTGCCACAATTTCAGAGCCTGTTATTGGTCTATTCAGAGAGTCAACTTCTTCCTGGTTTAGTCTTGGGAGGGTGTATGTGTCGAGGAATTTATCCATTTCTTCTAGATTTTCTAGTTTATTTGCGTAGAGATGTTTGTAGTATTCTCTGATGGTAGTTTGTATTTCTGTGGGATTGGTGGTGATATCCCCTTTATCATTTTTTATTGCATCTATTTGATTCTTCTCTCTTTTCTTCTTTATTAGTCTTGCTAGCGGTCTATCAATTTTATTGATCCTTTCAAAAAACCAGCTCCTGGATTCATTAATTTTTTGAAGGGTTTTTTGTGTCTCTATTTCCTTCAGTTCTGCTCTGATTTTAGTTATTTCTGGCCTTCTGCTAGCTTTTGAATGTGTTTGCTCTTGCTTTTCTAGTTCTTTTAATTGTGATGTTAGGGTGTCAATTTTGGATCTTTCCTGCTTTCTCTTGTGGGCATTTAGTGCTATAAATTTCCCTGTACACACTGCTTTGAATGCGTCCCAGAGATTCTGGTATGTTGTGTCTTTGTTCTCGTTGGTTTCAAAGAACATCTTTATTTCTGCCTTCATTTCGTTATGCACCCAGTAGTCATTCAGGAGCAGGTTGTTCAGTTTCCATGCAGTTGAGCGGTTTTGAGTGAGTTTCTTAATCCTGAGTTCTAGTTTGATTGCCCTGTGGTCTGAGAGACAGTTTGTGTAATTTCTGATCTTTTACATTTGCTGAGGAGAGCTTTACTTCCAACTATGTGGTCAATTTTGGAATAGGTGTGGTGTGGTGCTGAAAAAAATGTATATTCTGTTGATTTGGGGTGGAGAGTTCTGTAGATGTCTATTAGGTCCGCTTGGTGCAGAGCTGAGTTCAATTCCTGGGTATCCTTGTTAACTTTGTCTCGTTGATCTGTCTAATGTTGACAGTGGGGTGTTAAAGTCTCTCATTATTATTGTGTGGGAGTCTAAGTCTCTTTGTAGGTCTCTCAGGACTTGCTTTATGAATCTGGGTGCTCCCGTATTGGGTGCATATATATTTAGGATAGTTAGCTCTTCTTGTTGAATTGATCCCTTTACCATTATGTAATGGCCTTCTTTGTCTCTTTTGATCTTTGTTGGTTTAAAGTCTGTTTTATCAGAGACTAGGATTGCAACCCCTGCCTTTTTTTGTTTTCCATTGGCTTGGTAGATCTTCCTCCATCCTTTTATTTTGAGCCTATGTGTGTCTCTGCACGTGAGATGGGTTTCCTGAATACAGCACACTGATGGGTCTTGACTCTTTATCCAATTTGCCAGTCTGTGTCTTTTAATTGGAGCATTTAGTCCATTTACATTTAAAGTTAATATTGTTATGTGTGAATTTGATCCTGTCATTATGATGTTAGCTGGTTATTTTGCTAGTTAGTTGATGCAGTTTCTTCCTAGCCTCGATGGTCTTTACAATTTGGCATGATTTTGCAGTGGCTGGTACCGGTTGTTCCCTTCCATGTTTACTGCTTCCTTCAGGAGCTCTTTTAGGGCAGGCCTGGTGGTGACAAAATCTCTCAGCATTTGCTTGTCTGTAAAGGATTTTATTTCTCCTTCACTTATGAAGCTTAGTTTGGCTGGATATGAAATTCTGGGTTGAAAATTCTTTCCTTTAAGAATGTTGAATATTGGCCCCCACTCTCTTCTGGCTTGTAGACTTTCTGCCAAGAGTTCCGCTGTTAGTCTGATGGGCTTCCCTTTGTGGGTAACCCGATCTTTCTCTCTGACTGCCCTTAACATTTTTTCCTTCATTTCAACTTTGGTGAACCTGACAATTTATGTGTCTTGGAGTTGCTCTTCTCGAGGAGTATCTTTGTGGTGTTCTCTGTATTTCCTGAATCTGAACGTTGGCCTGCCTTGCTAGATTGGGGAAGTTCTCCTTGATAATATCCTGCAGAGTGTTTTCCAACTTGGTTCCATTCTCCCCGTCACTTTCAGGTACACCAATCAGACGTAGATTTGGTCTTTTCACATAGTCCCATATTTCTTGGAGGCTTTGTTCGTTTCTTTTTATTCTTTTTTATCTAAACTTCCCTTCTCACTTCATTTCATTCATTTCATCTTCCATCACTGATACCCTTTCTTCCAGTTGATCGCATCGGCTCCTGAGGCTTCTGCATTCTTCACGTAGTTCTCGAGCCTTGGCTTTCAGCTCCATCAGCTCCTTTAAGCACTTCTCTGTATTGGTTATTCTAGTTATACATTCGTCTAAATTTTTTTTCAAAATTTTCAACTTCTTTGCCTTTGGTTTGAATTTCCTCCTGTAGCTTGGAGTAGTTGGATCGTCTGAAGCCTTCTTCTCTCAACTCGTCAAAGTCATTCTCCGTCCAGCTTTGTTCCGTTGCTGGTGAGGAGCTGTGTTCCTTTGGAGGAGGAGAGGCACTCTGCTTTTTAGAGTTTCCAGTTTTTCTGCTCTGTTTTTTCCCCATCTTTGTGGTTTTATCTACTTTTGGTCTTTGATGATGGTGATGTACAGATGGGTTTTTGGTGTGGACGTCCTTTCTGTTTGTTAGTTTTCCTTCTAACAGACAGGACCCTCAGCTGCAGGTCTGCTGGAGTTTGCTAGAGGTCCACTCCAGCCCCTGTTTGCCTGGGTACCAGCAGCAGTGGCTGCAGAACAGTGGATTTTCGTGAACCGCGAATGCTGCTGTCTGATCGTTCCTCTGGAAGTTTTGTCTCAGAGGAGTACCTGGCCGTGTGAGGTGTCCGTCTGCCCCTACTGGGGGGTGCCTCCCAGTTAGGCTGCTCGGGGGTCAGGGGTCAGGGACCCACCTGAGGCAGTCTGTCCGTTCTCAGATCTCCAGGTGCGTGCTGGGAGAACCACTGCTCTCTTCAAAGCTGTCAGGGACATTTAAGTCTGCAGAGGTTACTGCTGTCTTTTTGTTTGTCTGTGCCCTGCCCCCAGAGGTGGAGCCTACAGAGGCAGGCAGGCCTCCTTGAGCTGTGGTGGGCTCCACCCAGTTAGAGCTTCCAGGCTGCTTTGTTTACCTAAGCAAGCCTGGGCAATGGCGGGTGCCCCTCCCCCCAGCCTTGCTGCTGCCTTGCAGTTTGATCTCAGACTGCTGTGCTAGCAATCAGCGAGACTGTGCGTGAGCCAAAGCAGGGCAAGGCATTGCCTCACTCAGGAAGCACAAGGGGTCAGGGAGTTCCCTTTCCTAGTCAAAGAAAGGGGTGACAGACGGCACCTGGGTCTGAGGTTTTATATACTTGCCAGCTAATAATTTAGCCAGCTGCTGTTTCACGAATACTCATAAAGCAGATAAACTCTAAAGGATCCTGGCTAACATGGTGAAACTCTGTCTCTACTAAAAATACAAAAAATTAGCCGGGCGTGGTGGTGGGCAACTGTAGTCCCAGCTACTCGGGAGGCTGAAGCAGGAGAATGGCGTGAACCCGGGAGGCGGAGCTTGCCAGTGAGCCGAGATCACGCCACTGCACTCCAGCCTGGGCAACAGAGGGAGACTCCGCCTAAAAAAAAAAAAAAAGGGGGAAATCTCTAAAGGACAAATTTTAATTTATTATTCACCGAAATAAAATAGCAGTTGACAGAGTATTAGCATTTTAGCCTTAAGTTTCCTGAGCCAGTTCCCACATGGCTTGGAGAGGAGGGTTAGATGACACCTGCACACACTCAGCTGTGTTACAGTGGGGGACTCTGAGCTTAGGGAATTTGAATCTTTAAAAATAGGCAATACACATGCCTGTCCTTTTTTTTGGTGGAAGACATTAACTTTATCGTAAATGATAGCAAATATGCCTGCCATTTATTCTTAGGGAAGGTTCTCTCTTTCCTGTAAATCCATTTGTTGTAAAAAATAACCTTTAAAAGTCGATCTGGAATAAAGGTAAGTCAGTGTCTCACTCTTATTATATGAAGAAATTCAATAGTCCCATGGAGCATACTCTCCCATGAACTCACACATAAAATCATAGGAGAGAAGGAGGCCTCACTGCTGATGAATATTTGAATACCTTGAATGCGGCAGTAGAAACCTGAGTACGCACACTTGTCAAAAATAAAACAGTGCTCTTGAAATAGATGCATTTTATTATATGCAAATTCTATCTTAGGAATCATGTTGAAAAAGGATATAATAGGTGAGCTTAGGGATTTTATTTAATAAAAAAGCTTTCAAATTGGCAACTTAGAACAACAGAGTCCACGTTATCATCCTAACCCACATTGTGTTGACCTAAGTGATAATTAATAAAAGTGTGCAAAGAATACCCTCAAAGTTAGAAGACTCCAATAATTTATTTATTGAATTTAAATCTAGGGTATCTTGTAGTTCCAATACTTCTTCGATTTATTAGATGTTGCTTCATAATTTTCACACATGACACCATCCAATTCATTCCTCATTTCCACTTACATAATTTATATTCATCATCCAGAATTTATATTCATACATTTCAATGGATGGCTTCCCTGACAACTTTGCTGCATCTCCCCTGCAGCCACTTTGGAAGAACACATCACTTCTCCTTTGGATCTCTTTTTCTATTAAAAAACATATTGACTTAAAAAAAAAAAAAAAAACTTCTGCACCTAAAATCATGCCTAGAGCATGCAAGGAACTCAATAAATAGTTTAAAAATAATAAATTTGTATATTGCAATATTTGAACACTCTTGAAGCCATTCTTAATGGATATGTTTGCCCTTATAATTGCTTTCTCTTGGGAAAGTGTTGGACTCTTATTGTGCTTCTAAGGGTGTCTATAGCCCTTACTTTGTCAGAGTACTCATGAATGATCTGTTAAAAGTTCATGTTTCAGTAGGAAGTGCCATTTATATCAGAACACAGAAACTTGAAGACATTTATCATTTATGAGGTCATTTTCTAAAAGGGAAACAAAAATGCTCTGTCAGTGATGATCTTATTCAATGAAGAATTCTAAATGACACATTTATGGTGTGACATTTCCTTGTCAAAAGAACATTATAGTCATTATCATTGTCTGCATAATCTGCCAGATTCCTCAGGGAAAATTACCATGACCTAATGTATGAGCACCTTACACTTGAAGGTGGATGCTAATAAAACTTGGTATCTCTAGAAACAAGTTATTGCCCATACCTAAGAATACTACCATAACATATAAAATATAATGTATAAACTTCTTCAAGACAACCCTTATACGCCCAATCAATTATACAGCATTAAAATGTAGGCTGAGTATTTTTTTCTCTTTCAAAATATTTAGAACACATTTTTACTCCACTCTCATGACACTGGCAGACAACATTTTACTTAACCAGTCAAATGAGACATATATGATAGTTCTATGGTTCAAACAATTAACTGTATCATTTTCCATTTTCATCATTCTCTTGGTGATAAATCACCTGAAGTTAGTACAGAATTTCTACTAATTGTTCCTTAAATAACAAAAAAGGCTTTATATTAACAAGACTGATAATTTTCATTATAAATTAATGCTGCATAGTTATTTGACTATTACAGCAACAGATAACAAACATGTATATTTTACAGGCATTTTTATGGGCTAATCTTAAAAATATATGTTATTGTTTTGTCACAATTGAAAATGTTTTCAGATTGCATTTTTTTAATTTAAAAAAATGAGAGTTGAAGAAAAATGATTACAACTTTACATTTATAGTTTTAGTTTACTGAATTCATTTTTTTCATTTAATATTTGAAAAACACATTCATCAAATATCTAGGTGTCTGATCTTGATCATATAGTGAAGAAATACGATATAACCTCTGCTCTAAAGGTACTTATAACTTTGCAGAGATAAATTGTCAACTAAGCAGAGCTAAGGATAATTAAAATAGGTATATTTTACTTCTGTCAATTCCTAATGTTTCACTCAACACAGTTATTTCAGAACATATATGGCACACAATGCGTTAGGCACTGAATACGTATCAGCAGGAAAAATGAATGTAGAAACTGTTTTGACATATACAGCTTACTATAAAGTGCAGACAGTACAAAATTAGTCAAATAAAGATGTAAATATAATCCATCATATATGCAACAAAAGGACCAAAGAAACAAGGATAAATGATCAAAATAGCAGATATTTTCTCATCTATTTGTGGGAAAGGAGACCAAAATGAAGAGGTGATGTCAGTGATTTCAAATAAATGAAATCATGTCTATTATTAGAGTGTTGCAGGTATGGGAAGAAGAGATGAAAATAATATATTCAAATGGGTTGAGACAAGGCATTGAACATTGTTAAAGCATAAATTAAGATGATAATTTATTAAGATGATAAATTAAGATGACAAAAAATACTTTTTTTAATGTGGAGAAGAGTTTGGAGAGTGGCATGTAAAAAGAGAGGCTTTTAAGTATAATATGCATAAACTGTAACAAATACATTTTGATTGTACAGTTTGATTAGTTGAAAATATGTATTCACCCATGTAACCAGAACCATAATCAAGATACAGAATATATCCTCCATCACATCAAAATATTTCATTGTGCTCTTTTGCAATCACCCCCCACATCCATCCTCATCTCAGAGAATCATCAATCTGCTGTCATTAGAGGTAAATGTTACCCCTTCTATAGTAGAATTTCATACAAATGGACTCAGATACTACTTGCTATTTTGTTTCTGGCTTCTGTCACTCAGTTTATGTTGGTGATACTCATCTTCCCTGAATATTATTTCATTTAACAGGTATTTCTGTTAAGGACATTTTATTTATTTCTGTTTTATTTCATTCCATTTGATATATTTTAAGGTTGTTATTATTCTTTAACTCTTACTGGTTTAAAGCAACACCAATTCAGTTTTGTTTGTCAGAAGTCAAGTTTGACCTGACTAGTGTCTTTGCTCAATGTTTATTAAGGCAAAAATTGAAGTAGCTTTCAGGTGGCTGGGCAGTTAGGAGAGGCTCTGGGAAAAACTCTGCTTTTTTGGGGGGGTTTCTTTTTTTTTTTTTTTTTTAGATAGAATCTCACTCTGTCTCCAGGCTGGAGTGCAGTGGCACGATCTCAGCTTATTGCAAGCTCCACCTTCTGGATTCAAGCGATTCTCCTGCCTCAGCCTCCCAAGTAGCTGGGACTACAGATGCGCACCACCATGCCCAGCTAATTTTTGTATTTTTAGTCGAGATGGGATTTCACCATGTTGGCCCGGATGGTCTCGATCTCTTGACCTCATGATCCGCATGCCTTAGCCTCTCACAGTGCTGGGATTACAGGAGTGAGCCACAGCACCCAGTCCAAAAATCACTTTTTGAATTTAATTAGATTATCTTTTTTCTTTTCTTTCTTTTTTTTTTCTTTTTTTTTTTTGAAGCTATATAACGGAAATTACTGCTTCCTTTCTGTCTGTTAGCTGGTGGCTTCTCTTAGTTTCTAGAAACCTCTCTCAAGTTCTTGCACATGGTTTCCTCTATTTCAGATTCAGCAACAGTGTGTAAAATCCTCACACGTGGAATCGCTGACTTGACTTTCTGGCTCATGCCTGAGGCCACCAGACTGAGAAAGTTCTCTGTCTCTCAGGGCTTATGTGATTAGATTTAGGCTGATCTGAATGGATAATCTAGGATTATCTCCATATTTAAAGGTCCATATCTTCAATTACATTTGCAAAATTCCTCTTTTTGTTTAACAACCATATTCATAAGTACCAGGGATTAGGGCATGGACATCTTTGGGTCCATAATTTGGTCTACCACACTTAGTTTTCTCAAGTTTCCATTTGACAATGGGGTTTATCGGGTCTTTTCTGAAGCATACAAGCACATCATTTTCCACATTAGACGCAACATAAAGGAATTAGAGTGGCCATCTTTAATTTGGTCCAAATTTCATGTAACAATTGCCAGACTTCCTTTATTTGGAGACTTAGACTCTGAAATTGTGACTATTTTATTTTTCTTTTTAATTGAATACAAATTTATCTTTATGTGATTTTACATATGTATTTTAAAATAAATGATAATATTTCTATCAATTTGTAAATGTCAGCGCAAAATTTTATGACTCACTCTTCTTTTACTCACAGTATTTAGAACACTGTTTTGACTAAAACAGCAAGTATTCAATTAATTAATATATTTGACAAAGTACTTTAATTAAGTGATTAATAATTATTATGTATTACCAGAGTAGAAAATAAAACGATTTTTAAAATTTTTTAAATAAGAAAGCCACTATTTATATTAATTTAATAATCATAGAAATAATATAAGTTTTCTGATTTACACTTTTTTTTATACTTCAGTTCTAGGATACATGTGCAGAATGTGCAGATTTGTTACATAGGTATAGACGTGCCATGGTGGTTTGTTGCACCCATCAACCCATCATCTACATTAGGTATATCTCCTAATGCTATCCCTCCCCTAGCCCCCCACCCCCCGACAGGTCACAGTGTGTGATGTTCCCCTCCCTGTGTCCATGTATTCTCATTGTTCAATGCCCACTTATGAGTGAGAACATGCAGTGTTTGGTTTTCTGTTCTTGTGTTAGTTTGAAGAGAATGATGATTTTCAGCTTCATCCATGTCCATGCAAAGGACATGAATTCATCCTTTTTTATGGCTGCATAGCATTCCATCGTGTATATGTGCCACATTTTCAAAAAAAAGTTTTATATAAGGATAGTGTTGATATTTGAGCTGGGTGTCTAAATACATGTAAGACATTTTTAAGGATTTAGAGATTTCATTCTTTGCTAAAATAAGCCCTGCACTCTGTCCTTACTTTTCTCTCACTTAACTAAATCTTCATTTTAAAATTATTTTTTGTTTCTACTGTTTTTCCATAAAATAATGATATATGCCTTTTACTCACCCAAAATATTTATAATAGGCAGAATAATGCCATCCTCCTCTCCAACAAAAGATGTCCATATACTACAAGTTATACTTGCCAGAACCTGTATCTCACATTGTGAAGGAGAATTAAGATTACAGATAGAATTAAAATGGGAAATCCTTAAAATAGGAAGATCATCCTGGATTATTATGGTAGGCCCAAGGTAAACACAAGAGTTCCTAAATGTGGAAGAGTGCCTCAGAGGAGCCAGTGTCAGAGAGATGCTGTGTGAGGAAGTCTCAACCTGCCATTGTGGCTCTGAACATGAGAGGATGCTTTGCAATCAGCCTTTTGAAGCTGGAAGAGGCAAGGCAATGAATTCTTACCTAGAACTTTCAGAAAGGATCACATACCTGCTGATGCCTTAATTTCAGCCCAGAGAAACCCAGTTTGGACATTTACACTCCAGAACTATAAAATAATAAATTTATATTATTTTACAACACTAAATTTATGGTAATTTGTCACAGCAGCAATAAGAGACTAATACAATGACCTCCCTATTCCCACGTCCACATTAAGGTCATGTTGTTCTCTCCTTTTACTGGCAAATTTATTGCAAATCAGTCTATTCTTTCCTCAGTTTTAATGTTCTCCCTCCCTTTTCTGTCTTTACTGGTTGGTACTTATAAAATCCATATTATAATGTGTAAGTTTCTTCATCAGATGCAGAGCACAATGAGGTGAACACAGGTGATAATTAGCTTTGCGGTTTTTGCTGGTGTTTTCTCATCAAGGTCTCTTATTTTAAGCCCACGTCTGTGCATGTTTTGTTAGTTTGCACATAGGTTTCATCATTTCCTTAAAATTATTGGTTTTATTGTTTGCCTTATAAATTCATTTTGTTATCTTTTCTCTTGATGTCTTTAAGTGCAGATTGTATTTTAATGCTCATTGAAATATGTGGATTGTGTTTAATATTGTTCAGGTTTTTTCTTTAAAGAACAAATTCACGTTTAATGCATAATATAGCCTCCATTTTTACTCTTAGCTGTTCATCACAACAAATTTTGACATATTGACTAAATGAAAATGCTTTTTTTATGTCAATTACTTTCCTTTTAAGATACCCATAGTTATTGTGGATGTCCATAATTTTTTGCCTACTGAGATAGCCTCCTATTTTGCACTCTTCCATTCCAAGCATTAGTATACACAGAGTGAGATTTTCGGGAAAGAAGGTCATGTTATATGCCATTGCTCCTAAAATAAATTTCAACTCTTTACAGGGCAAATTTTTTTCCCAACCTCACTTTGTGCCATTCTCATGCTAACTTAATATACTCTTTTTCTTCTCACAATCCTTTAACAAGCTAAGTACTCTTTAATGCAGAACCTTTGTCCTTGCTAGGTCCTAGGTGTGAAATGCACATTCTCATCCTTTTTCATGGCTCACAGTTTCTCATTTTTTGGGACTCATGCCTCAGTTTACATATCATTTTTCCAAAAGGAATTTATCAAATAACTTATGAAAAATATCCTTATTGCTGCTTTGTTTTCCCATTATAATATTCTTCAGAATTTCTTTCTTAGAACATACAATTTGATCTTTGTTGTTATTTTGTAATTACTTCCACATATCTTTCATAGTAAGATGTAAGTTCTATGAAGCCTGGTGCTATGTCATTTCTTTCCTGAACCCAGCTCCTTTCACAGTGCCTAGTACATTTTTGTTTGTGATAAACTGATATCTATCCAATGATTGTGTTAACGAAATCACTTATCACCCTCTTCAAGCATTTAACTTATACAGTAAAGGCCCTTCTCTATTTTCTATATAAAAAGAAACAGTAGAGTCTATATCCCAGCATCAAAAAGAAATGGTGTCCATTGAGAATGGATTCCATACGATTTCCTGTATTTTAATCTACCTGAAAAAAGAAAAAACCCTCTAGATTAGGACATATCAGAAAAAAAAACCATATATATATAATTTATATATATATAAATAAATCTTGAAATAAGTAATAAATTGTCAATTTATGAGTTTAATAACAATAACAAAATCTGTGTTTGCATACACATAAAAGAGTGTGAATATATGTATATGTACACAGATATTATATATAGAGAGAGAGAAAGAAAGAGATGGAGTCTCGCTCTGTTGCCCAGGCTGGAGTCCAGTGGCACAATCTAGGCTCACTGCAACCTCCACTTCCCAGGTTCAATTGATTCTCCTGCTTCAGCCTCCCTAGTAGCTGGGAATCCAGGCACATGCCACCATGCCTGGCTAATTTTTGTATTTTTAGTAGAGACAGGGTTTCACCATGTTGGCCAGGCTGGTCTTGAACTCCTGACCTTGTGATCCTCCTGCCTTGGCCTCCCAACATGCTGGGGTTACAGGCGTGAGCCACCACGCCCGGCCAGAAGTATATTTTTGTAGGCTGAGGTTCTTCATATTTTCTGAATTTTATAAAACAGAAAACTGAAAAATTTAAGAACCTATTAATATTTATAAAATGAACCATTATTTCTCAGGGTATAAATCTAACCTTTATAAATATTATACTCACATTGAAAAACATACCTAATACCTGATGTGTCTGTGTGTGTGTGTGTACGTGCGCGCACGTGAGCATCCATCCTGGTGTCTCGGAGGTGTAAACTTCTACCTACCGCCCCAAATATTCATCTTTGAGTAAATGCTCAAACGTGATATTATGAAACATTTTCCCCGTGGTGACTGGATTTACCGGACTTGAATGATGGATGGATATATATGTTCTGCCTTGATTGACCAGTGATTTTCCCAAATTGAAATGAAATGACCTTGGCTTCTTCCCCTGATGTCGACCATCAGTGTCATTAGGAAGGTGAATAATTGTGTGTTTTATTATTTGCATCTGATGTTTCTTATTTTATGGCTCAGCATTCTACAACTGTAATTTATTGTTTGAGCTTAAATTTCACCAAGCTTTTAGATAACTTTTATAAATTCTAAGTGAGTTCATTTCCCAGCAGTTATTCCTTGAGGACTCTCTGGCTCTTCATTTGATTGCCACATAAGCACTCCGGACTGAAAGACCTATTTCTGCTTTTGAAAGGTTAAAGGGAAAAAAAATTCTTCTTACACTGAATTTTTCCTGACAGTTCAGGTCTCCTCAGATGATAGCCAATCTATCCTCTAGCAGATGAAATAGATTAGTATAGGACTCACTTATGCTTCAATGTACAATAGGATAATGTGACACTTCATCTTCTCACTGTCTTCTCTATTGCATCTCACTTATTCAAAAATCACATTTCACTCCAATATGAAACATTCTTCACAGCTTGCTTCTTTCTGGCTCATATTTCTTTCAGTTTTTCCCATCAATAAATAAAATTGCTTGAAGATCCCTTCTCTATTTCCTATACAAAAACTTTACTTTTGTACATTATTGTAATATAGAACTATATTTGTCTATCTAATAAGATGTCATTTTTTTCACTAACCTTAAATTTTTGGACTTGTGAATATCTAAAAATATTTTGTACTTTGAATTTAAATTAAAATATTTAAAATCAGTTGCTGTTGCTTTAAAAAATATCAGTATTGCATTATTTTCTAATAACTGTATAAATTTTAAATATAGTTCCATGTTTACTAAATTATACTTTTGAAGGCTCACTAATACATCTTAATTATTGTTTTCAATTTCCCTTTTAAAATCAAATCTAAATATTTATTTAAAAATTAAATAATCTCAGTACATTTATATATCATAACCATATATCGGATTTTCCCTAAATTGAGGTTTTTGTAGTTTAACAAAAGAAAACAGAGTAACCTCAAAATATCTGGACAAGCAAAACAATTTTTAAAAATTACTGACAAATCTCGCATGGAGAGCAGTATACTAAAAGCTAATCTTAGAGGTTATATTTGAATCTTTTTGGTGTTGTATTATTAGCTCCAGTCTCAAATTATTGTTGTAGTTTCTCATATCAAAATTTGGAGTGGATTTGTAGGATATGATATAATATTTGAGATGCTCTATCATAAACACAGAGGTGTAGTAAATAAATATATAAATCTTGAAATAACTAATAAATTGTCAATTTATGAGTTTAATAGCAGTAACAAAATATGTGTGTTTGCATACACATAAAAGAGTGTGAATCACATTTCTCTTTAAAGAGAGTCTGTAAGGCTCATTTCAGGGATGTGGTAGACGTTGATTACTATATAATAATTACTATTAATACTCTGGTTCTAAAAGGTTCTGTGTGAAACGAAAACATGCTACTATCATCTCTTATGGTCTCCTTTACCAAAAGTCCTCAGAGTGTGGGAATAAAGTATACTCAGTCTTAACGTTCCTCTGTGCGTACAAGTAGAGCCTAACAAAATTTATAATGCATGTTTGTGTAAAGAACAGGTATATATTTCTGTAAAAAGGTTAGGGTATTTAAAGTTGCTTTTTTTTTCTTTTAGATGGAGTTCCACTCTTGTTGCCCAGGCTGGAGTGCAATGGTGCGATCTCAGCTCACTGCAGCCTCTGCCTCCCCAGCTCAAGCAGTTCTCCAGTCTCAACCTCCAAAGTAGCTGAGATTAGATGCTCACCACCATGCCCAACTAATTTTTTGTATTTTTAGTAGTGACGGGGTTTCATCATGTTGGCCAGGCTGGTCTCGAACTCCTGGCCTCAGGTGATCTGCCCACCTCGTCCTCCCAAAGTGTTGGGATTGCAGGCGTGAGCCACAGTGCCTGGCCAGGTATAATTTTTTGAACTAAAAAGGGCTTTTTAAATTTGATCTTTGTATGTGCTTGCACAGAATATAAAAATAGGGTTATCCTTCATTATTATGTGTCGAGTACAAAACAGAGAAATCCACTTAAGGTTGAATGATGAAATATGATAAAATATGTAATAACGCCAGGCATGGTGGCTCATACCTGTAACTCCAGCGCTGTGAGAGGTCAAGGTAGGTGGATCACTTGAGGCCAGGAATTTGAGACCGGCCTGGCCAATACTGAGAAACCTCGTCTCTACTAAAAATGTGATAATTAACTGGGCATGGTGGTGTAAATCTGTAATCCCAGCTACTTGGGGGACTGAAGCTTGAGAATTGCTTGAACCCAGGAGTCAGAGTTTGCAGTGAGCAGACTGCACTCCGGTCTGGGCAACAGAGCAAGACTCTGTCTCAAAACAAACAAACAAACAAAAAACTTAACAAAGTAAAATTTCAAAAGACAATATATAACAAAGCAAACAATATAATCAAAAGACGCCAGTGCAATAAAATCAAATTATTTAATCCTATGAAGATTTTCGTAATTCAGAAACTGAGTAATATTGTGAAACCCAGCTATTTGTTTCTGTCTGTTGTTAAAAAATTTGGATCCAGTATTAAGAAAACCACATAAATATGTTTTTAAACATAAGAACTCAGTATAATTAATTTTTACAGTATAATTAATCATCAAGAATATATATTAAAATATAATTTTTATATTATAATAAATTCAAATAAAATAGAACATAGCATTTTAAGCCAGTTATTTTTGTATGATGTATAGACCTAATTATCTAACACAATTATTAATATAATTCCAAAACATTTTTTATTCTTTTTATGACTAATGTCAAATGTTGACTCTGAAGCCTTCTTAAGACATGCCATTTAGGTTTTCAATAACGTCTATAAAAGGATTTATGTAACATACAATCCACCAGATAAAATGAAGATAATTTTTACGTTATTCTTTTGTTCAAGCTCTAAAAGCAAAAACAAAATGACCATGTGCTATGCATAGTATATGTATTAGTTCATTCTCACACTCCTACAAAGAACTACCTGGGACTGGGAAATTTATAAAGAAAAGAGGTTTAATTGATTCACAGTTCCACAAGCTGTCTAAAAAGCATACCTAGGGAGGCCTCAGGAAACTTACAATCATGACAGATGGTGAAAGAGAAGCCCACACGTGTTGGGAGCAGGAGGAAGAGAAGAGAGGGCAAAAGAGAAAGTGCCACATCTGTTTTCAAACAAACAGATATTATGAGAACTCACTCACTATCATGGGAACAGCAAAGGGGAAATACACCCCCACAATCTAATCACATTCCACCTGGCCCCTCCTTCAACGCTGGAAATTATAATTTGATATTAGGCTTGAGTGGAGACACAAAACCAAACCATATCATTCTGCCCCAGACTTCTCCAAAATCCCATGTTTCTGTCACATTTCAAAACACAATCATGCCTTCCCCAAAATCCCTCAAAGTCTTAACTCATTTCAGAATTAACTCAAAAGTCCAAGTCTAAAGTCTCATCTGAGAAAAGGCAAGTGTCCCTTCCACCTACTGTAAAATCAAAAACAAGTTAGTTACTTCGAAGATTTAATGGGGGTACAGGCATTGGGTAAATGCTCCTTTTCCAAATGGGATAAATTGGCCAAAACAAAGGGGCTACAGACCCTCTGCAAGCCCAAAATCCAGCAGACAGTCATTACATCTTAAACCTTCTACATAACTTTCTTTGACTCCATATCTTAAATCTAGGCCACACTGATGCAAGGGGTGGGCTCCCAAAGGGAGCTTGGGCAGCTCCACCCCTGTAGCTCTGCAGGGTACAGCCCCTGTGGCTGCTTCATGAGCTGGCATTGAGTGCCTGCAGCTTTCTCAGGTGCACGGTGCAAGCTGTCAGCAGATCTACCATTCTGGGGTCTAGAGGATATTGGTCCTCTTCTCACAGCTTCAAAAGGCAGTGTCCAGTTGGAGATTCTGTGTGAAGGCTCCAACCTCACGTTTCCTCTCTGCACTCACTTAGTAGAGGTTCTTCATGAAGGCTCCAACCCTGCAGCAGACTACTGCCTGGACTTCCAGATGTTTCCATACATCCTCTGAAATCTAGGTAGAAGCTCCTAAGCCTCAACTCTTACTCTCTGCTCACCTGCAGGCTTAACACCACATGGATGCTGCCAAGGCTTGGGGCTTGCACTCTCTAAAGCAATGGCCGTAGCTGTATTTTGGTGCTTTTTAGTGATGGCTAGAGCTGGAGCAGCCATGATGTAGGGCACCATGTCCTGAGGCTGCACTTAGCAGCATGGCCCTGGGCTTGGCCCATGAAACCACTTTTCCCTCCTAGGCCTCCAAGCCTGTGTTGGGAGGGGCTGTCATGAAGGTCTCTAAAATGTCTTGGAAGCATTTTTCCCATTGTCATGGCTACTGATATTTACCTCCCCTCTATGCAAATTTCTTCAGTTGGCTTGAATTCCTCCCCAGAAAATGGGTTTTTCTTATGGTCAGGCTGAAAATTTTCTAAACTTTTATGTTCTGCTTCCCTTTTATATATAGGTTCAATTCAGACCATTTCTTTGCAAATGAATATGATATTTTGCTGTTAGAAGCATCCTGGTTACATCTTGAATGCTTTGCTGCTTAGAAATCTCTTCTGCCAGATACCCAGAATCAATTCACTCAAATTCAAAGTTCCACAGATCTCTAGGGAAGGGGTACAATACTGCCAGTCTCTTTGCTAAAGTGTAGCAAGAGTGACCCATACTCCAGTTCCTAATAAGTTTCTCATCTCCATCTGAGACCACCTCAGCCTGGACTTTACTGTCCATATCACTGTCAGCATTTTGGTCACAACCATTCAACCAGTCTCTAGGAAGTTCTGAAGTTTCTCTCATCATCCTATCTTCCGAGCCCTTCCAACTGTTCCAAACTCTGTTACCCAGTTCCAAAGTCACTTTCACATTTTCAGTTATCTTTATAGCAATGCACCACTCTCCTGGTCTCAATTTTCTGTATTAGTCTGTTCTCATACTGCTATAAAGAACTATCTGAGACTGGGTAATTTATTAAAAAAGGAGGTTTAATTGAGGTACAGTTCCACAGACTGTACAGGAAGTATGGCTGGGGGAGGCCTCAGGAAACTTACAATCATGGTGGAAGGCAAAGGGGAAGCCAGTATGTCTTACATGGCAGGAGCAGAAGGAACAGAAGAGATGGCAAAGAGAGACGAGCAACACACTTTCAACCAACCAGATTTCATGAGAACTTACTCAGTATTATGAGAACAGTAAGGGGGATATCTGCCCTCATAATCTAATTTCCTCCCAGCAGGCCCCTCCTTCAACACTGGAAATTAGAATTTGACATGAGATTTGGGTGGGGACACAGACCCAAACCATGTCAGTATATATATATATACTTTTGAGTCTACAAAGTACTATATTTCCAAGTACAAGTAATATATTTTATCTTTGATCATTACTGTTAGGTGGTGGGTATTTAGACTGTTATTTATAATATAGAGCCAAATAATTTTTTAGAGGAACCTACTGTTTGATGTTACTAAATTTTGGAATTCTGAAACTAAAAATTGCTATATTTCTGGGATAATCTCTGACACATTTTGAAACATTTTCAGGTTTAACATTTTTGTTTTAAAAATATGTTTATGTAATCTATGTAATGGGACAGCTGAATATTTATTTTTGCCTAAGTTAGCCATGATTAAACATGTTTGAAAGCCAGTGCACTAAAGGTTTGCTGATCTGGCTGGGTACAATTGTAGTCCAATCCAGTTTCTCTTTTAAGTGTGCCATACCGAGATGGCTTCTTTGTACGCCTCCTGCATTCATTCCTATTCTTCTATTATCATCATCATCACCAAGTTACGAATTAATGGTCATCATCACCAAGTTATGAATTAATTAATCACTCTCTTCTGAGCTTTGTTTCACTTCTTTCAACCCCCTCTGCTTGTGCCCTTCCAAAATATTCTCATAATGCCCTCTGGAAAAAGCATGTATAACCTCAATATTTTCTCTGAGTATTATCTTCCTCTTTCTGTTGAAACTCGATATGATCCTTGCATGCGCATACTTTTTCCATAGTGAATGCAATCACTATGAGAGTTGCATTTCTCAAGTGAATGCAGTCTTTCAGCTCTTTATTCACTTCAATGCTGAAAATTTTGCCCACGTCATCATTTCCCCACTGTTATGCCCAGATCAATATGCTTCTATCTTCCTTATAATGAACACTTCCCTTAGGTAATGGATGGCATTTACCTGTTACTGTATTGTCTGAAATGTTTCAATGGAGCCAAACTATGATACAAACATTGGCAACTACTTACTTCCCTAGTTGTTTATAGCTAATCATCTTTTTGCAGATGATATTTAGTCCCGAAAGAGTATTTCTGATACCCTTCAGTTTTTAGATGACAGGCAAGTGACTATACTTGTAATATTGATAGTAGTAATAACAGTGACAGATATTATTATTCTGCATATATATAATATGCATATACATAAGTGCATATATAATTAGCACTTATTATATGCCAGTTATAACTCTAAGCATTTGCCATGAATTGGCATATAAAGTCTTCACAAAATCTCTTTCACATAGAATTCCATCCTTATTTTAGAAGTGAGGAAACTGAGGTATATAACTTAGGTAATTTGTCAGATCAGACAGTGAGGAAGTGTCATAACCTTATTCACACACAGGCAACCTTAATCTACTAGAGGTCTTTCATGTGTCTTAGCAAAACTATATCTTTCAGGACTTTCTTGGAATGTATGGCTGGCCTTTGGAGAGGGGGTGAATAAGTAATATATATTCATATACATATAGAGAGAAATATATATATATAAACTTCAATAGTTTTGGGATAACAGAACAGGTAGTGTCTGGTTATATGGATAAGTTCTTTAGCGGTGATTTCTGAGATTTTGGTGCACCCAAGCAGTGGACACTGTACCCAGTGTATAGTCTCTTATTCCTCATCCCCTTCCCACCCCTTCTTCAGAGTCCCCAAAGTCCATTGCATTATTTTCATGCCTTTGTATCCTCATAGCTTAGCTCCTACTTATGAGTGAAAACATACGATGTTTGGTTTTCCATTCCTGAGTTACTTCACTTAGAATAATGGCCTCCTGTTCCATCCAGATTGCTGCAAATGTCATTATTATATTTCTTTTTATGGCTGAGTAGTATTCCACAGTTACTTTATCCACTGATTGATAGATGGGGATTTGGGTTGGTTCTATATTTTTGCAATTTTGAATTGGGCCGCAAAAAATGTGCATGTGCAAGTATCTTTTTTGCATAATGAGTTCTTTTCCCCTGGGTAGATAAAGAGGTGAATAATTCTTTATAGCAATCTAGCATACTCCTAGAAGCTAAGATATCTAATATTTGAATGTTGTTATTTCAATTTTTAACATTAACAGTACCTCTTCACTGAGATAGTCTCAAGTCAGCTACACTAGAATACAATAAAGTGCTAAAATATAATTTACCTTTAAAGATAAGAAAGTCTTGTCTGGTAATTCAGCATGAATTCCAGGGCCTAAATACATTCAGCTAACTCTAATTATGGAAAAGTGTGAAATGAAGCCTGGAAACCATATTGATTCAATGGAAGTTCAGTTTCTACTTTTAGAAGATAGTTTAACTTGTGAATGTCAATTACAGAGTTTTACTGTTGGTCTTTTAAATACGGAGTATATTTTACTGAGTTTGTCATTAATTAAGCAGAGTCTTCCTTCCTTAAGAACTACTGTGACTTATGCAGGAATGTTTAATGAGAATAAGACCAAAATAGAGCTTATAAGAATATGATAGATGATCTCAGGCTAGGCTTTTTCTAATGCACCAACACAATAATTATGGTACCTCTAAAATAGTGTCTCTTTTAGAATAATTAGAGCCTCTGCTTCTCTTCCCATAAAACATTTGAATTCAGAATGGATCTCACTGGAATAAGTAGGCATCTGGAATCCAGAGAACACTGCTTATTCATAATGAACATATAACACAAGTGAGCAATAAACTTTTTGTCTTTTTAATCCACTGATATTTTAGTCTACAACTTATTAGGATTAAACATCTAGATCAATTTACTTTGCTGGAGCCACAGGCATCTCAAATTCGCTACATCTGAAATTAAACCTGCTTCTCCCACTTTGACCTGTTTCATTTAATTTTACCACCATTCAAATAGCCAACCATTTCAGAAACCAGCATGCTATTTTTGAGTCTTCTTTTACCTACGCCAATATCTAACCACTCACTAAATTCTACTGATTTTTAAATGTTTGAACTTCTCCCTATTCCCACTGACATTACACCCTTTTATTCTGCCCGTGTTTCTTTTGTATTTTTAACACAAGACTCAACTGTTTTCTTCATATCACAGAAAGAATAATTTGTACTAGTCCATTCTTGTTAATTTCCTGATAAAAAATTTCAATGACTACATTGTTTTTATGAAATAGTTATTTATTTATTTATTCATTTATTTATATTTATTTATCTATTTTTGAGATGGAATCTCACTTTGTGGCCCAGGCTGGAGTGCAGTGGTGCGATCTCAGCTCACTGAAAGCTCTGCCTCCTGGGTTCACGTCATTCTCCTGCCTCAGCCTCCTGAGTAGCTGGGACTACAGGCGCCCGCCACCACGCCCAGCTAATTTTTTGTATTTTTAGTAGAGACGGGGTTTCATCGTGTTAACCAGGATGGTGTCGATCTCCGGACCTCGTGATCTGCCTGCCTTGGCCTCCCAAAGTGCTGGGATTACAAGCATGAGCCACCATGCCCGGCCAGTTAAATTTATTTTTAACAGAGCATGAAAATCACTTCACAGCATGCCCTTCCTTTTCAATATCACCTTTGACTTTTTCCCATGGCTTGTACCCCATGTTTAGCTATGTAGAACAGCTTTGTCTCCCAGAAATCCACCCCACATATGCTCTTTCTGCATCATAAAATTTTCTCTCTAAAGTAGAATAGACCTCCACTAAGGTCTCTTAAAGTCTATGGTAATATCTTCTGTTCTTTGTTGTTATTTTTCTTAATTGTAACTCTGTCTATTACACAAACATACCTCAGAAATACTGTGTGATTCCAGACCACTGAAATAAAGCAAATATTGCAATAAAGCAACTCACACAAAGTTTCTGGTTTCTCAGAACATAAAAAGTTATGTTTATACTGTACTATAATTCACTAAGTGTGCAGTAGCATTATGTCTAAACAATGTACACAATTTTAAAATAATTTTTACTATAAAATGCTAATAATCACCTAAGCTTTCAGTGAATCCCATTTTGCTGGTGGAGAGTTTTGGCCTGACATTGTTGGCTCCTAACTGATCAGAGTAGTGACTACTAAAGGCTGTGGTGGCTATGGCAATTTCTTACAATAAAATAACGACGAAGCTTGCCACATCCATTGACTCTTCCTTTCATGAATGTTTTGTCTATAGCATGATTCTGCCTGATGGCATTTTAGCCTCAGTAAAACTTTCTTCAAAACTGAAGTCAATTCTCTCAATCCCTGCTGCTGCTTTATTAACTATGTTTATAGAATATTCTAAAGCCTTTATTGTCATTTCAACATTGATCACAGAATCTTCACCAGGAACAGTTTCCATCTCAAGAAACCACTTTCTTTACTCATCCATAGAAGCAATTTCTCAGTCATTCAAGTATTATCACAAAATTGCCCCAATTCAGTCACATCTTCAGATTCTACTTCTAATTGTAGTTACCTTGCTAGCCTTACAAAATGTATTTCCTAAATAAGACTTGAAAGTCAAAATGACTCCTTGATTGGTAGGTTGAAGAATGGATGTTGTGTTAGCAGTCATGAAAACGACATTAGTCTACTTATACATCTCCAGAGCTATTGGTTGACGAGGTGCATCTTCGATCAACAGCAATTATTTTGAAAAGACTTTTTCTGAGCAGTAAGTCTCAAAAGTAGACTTAAAATATACAGTAAACCATAGCACAAACAGATATGCTGTCATGCAGGCTTTGTTAATCTGTGTAGAGAGCATAGGAATAGTAGATTTAGTATAATTCTTAAAGGACCTACAATTTTTGAAATGGTAAATGAGTATTTGCTTCAACTTAAAAGTCACCACCGGCATTAACCACTAAAAAGAGAGTCAGCCTGTCCTTTGAAGCTTTGAACCCAGACATTGACTTCTCTTTAGTTATAAAATTCCTAAATGGCACCTTCTTCCAGTAGAAGGCTGTTTTGTCTACACTGAAAATCTGTTGTTTAATGTAGCCACCTTCATCATTTACCTTAGCTAGATCTTCTGTATAACTTGATGCAGCTTTTATATTAGTACTTTCTGCTTCTCCTTGCACTTTTATGTGATCGAGATAGATGAGTTTCTTCAACCTCATGAACCAACCTCTGCTAGCTTCCGATTTTTCTTCTGAAGCTTCCTCATCTCTCTCTGCCTTCATAGAATTGTAGAGACTTAGGGCCTTGTTCTGGATTAAGCATTGGTTTAAGGGAGTGTTATAACTGGTTTGATCTATCTAGATCATTAAAACTTTTTCCATATCAGCAATAAGGCTGTTTTGCTTTCTTATCATTTCTGTGTTCAACTGGCATAATACTTTCAACTTCCTTCAAAAATTTTCCTTTGCATTCACAGCTTGGCTAACTGCTTTGTGCAAGAGGCCTAGCTTTTGGCCTATCTTGGCTTTCAACATGCCTTCCTTACTAAGCATTATCGCTTTTAGTTTTTGATTTGAAGAGATATGCAACTCTTTCTTTCACTTTAACACTTAGAGGCCACTGTAGGGTTATTGTACTAATTTCAGTATCATTGTGCCTCAGAAAATAAGGAGGTCTGAGAAGAGGGAATGAATGAAAAGGGTTAATAGCGGCTTGGTGGGACAGTCAGAACACACACATTTTTTGATGAAGCTTGTCCTCTTATATGGGCATGGTTCGTGGCACCCCTAAACAATTACAATAGCAACAGCAAAGGTCACTGATCACAGATCACCACAACACATATAATAATAATGAAAAATTTAAAATAGTTTGCAAAAAGTGCCAAAAATGGTAAAACAGAGATAAGGAGTAAACCTGTGTTGTTAGATAGATTTGCTCAATGCAGAATTGTCACAAATCTTCAATTTGTAGAAAATGCAATATCTGTGAAGCACAATCAAGTGAAGCATAGGGAAAATGGTATTAATCTAAGTATTTCCAGGTTATCAGTTTTATCTGGTTGTTGAATCCAATTCAACATTGTGGCCATAACACCAAACACAGAAATGATGTTTAGACAGTAGTATGTTTTATGGTAAATGAAAGGGCCAATTCTAATTGCTGAGTCAAATCTTCTGCTGTCTACAGAAGGCTTTATTTTTTCTCCTTTTTATTGTGCAAAATGCCTTTTATTTGTTTTACCTCTAAGAGCCATCACTGCATTATTCTGGTTCTATACTGTGATCTTTCTTGCCTATGTTCTTTCTTCAATGCCTGGGTTGGCTAAATAGCATCAGCGTTATTTCTGCTGTTACAACAATGAGAGAGGGACTTTAAGATCCTCTGAAAGAAGTTGGCACTTTTTAAGAAGAGTATATAACAAAATTATGTTCCCTGATTTTGAATTGTCATGATATTTATATTGTGCCCGTCCTAGAAACAGCAGTTAATAACCATTACTCTTTAAAAACTCAAAGCTTTGTATTGCATGAGCTTTACTTGAATTTAACTAAAATACATGTATTATTATTAAAAGACACAACCTGTTTTTTTCAAATATATAGCATTTTATTGTAAAGCTCAGAAGGTTTAGATAGAACCTTCTGATCACCACTTCAATATAAACACTCACTACTTTGATTTTGATTAGTACTGTATCTTACACTAAATCCTAGATTCAAGCTCATTCTCAAAAGGAAAATGTTTTCTACAAAATATATTATGTGAAAGAAAAACACTGATTTATGTTTAGAAGGTATGATATCTACTTTCAAAGATAGGACAGATATTTAGCT
The DNA here is from genome assembly GCF_000001405.40 of Homo sapiens. Taxonomy (NCBI): domain Eukaryota; kingdom Metazoa; phylum Chordata; class Mammalia; order Primates; family Hominidae; genus Homo; species Homo sapiens. Next base: position 86,671,886 of record NC_000013.11, read on the forward strand.
TTGTTTTTAGCATTCTTAACAAGCCTACAGAGATTATGAAAAATGGAAAGGCAAAATAAATGTGCTCTCTTACTATAATTTAGTTTTAAAGGGGTTAAAATTCTAAATTTTAACTATATTGCTTTCAGAAATTATTTTCAGAACATTAAAAAAAACTTCCCAAAATTAAAGTACCCAAAAAGATTTGTTCCCTCTGACTTGCTGAGCTCATCTCTTTCATGTTTTAATTCCACTGTTGGCACTCTTTGAATACTATGGTTTCTACTAAGCCAGTGCTCACTTCAGCTAGCCCTGCTTCCACAGTGGGCAGAGAGCTCTTGATCCATGCTGCCCTCCTATTAGTAGGATCATCTTGCAGAAAAAATTTGCTAAGTCTCATTTCAAATCATGTTTTAATATGCTTGTCATGTAACCCCAGCTCTACCTCTCGCTGCATCAAGTTTGGCTTATGTACACAGCCATTTCTTCTGCGCTTTGTTTTGTTCTATTATAAAGAGATTGTAAAATCATTGCTATATTTCTTATGCTGTTGGACAAAGAAACTATTGGTAAAGTCAGTTATAGTAAAATAAAAGAAAAACAAAATAAAAATTTCAATCTTTTATTTTACTTGTCTCCATAATTTTGGGTCATCTGGTGGTATTGTGCTATACGCTCCAAAAGGCAACAGATATAAGAAACACAGGTGCAGTGGCCACAGGAAATTATGTCATTGAAAAAACAAAATTCAAAAACATCAATTTAAAAATATAAATTTAAGGCTGCATTGGTAATAAAAATAACATGTGAAGAATAGGAGTACAGAAAGGAAAAAGATATGTAGCACAGGAGTACAGGAAGGTAATTAACAGTAGTGCTTTCTATATACAAAAATTAAAAAGAGAACAGTGACTTGTATACAGAATTGTTAAATCATTTTTTGTAAACATAAAGATATTTAAACTATGCTCTGCAGAGTAGCATATGTAGGTCTGAAAGACAAAAATAGCTATTATATGCAAGGGAAATGATTGTGTCATTTTAATTGACTAAAAGACTGACAATATTAAGCAATTTGCTGTTTAAAGATTACTTTTTCAATGCCTATTTTTGTATAGTGTTTTGATTAAGGATACAGATAATATATCACACATATATGTATACACATACATATGTTCATTGCCAGGTAAAACACAAGATACTCAGTCAAATTGAAATTTCAAGTAAACAACAAATAAGGTTTTTTTCCTTATTGAGATGAAATTTACAGAGCATGAAATTAACCATTTTAAAAGGTACATTTCAGTGGCATTTACTACATCCACAGTGTTCTGCAACCACCAACTAAATCAATTTCTAAAACATTTCCATCACCCTAAAATAAATCTCATACCTATTAAACAGTCACTCTCTACTGTTCTTTTAGTTAGAATTCTTTTAGTTAGAATAATGCTTTAGAGCAGGGGTGTCCAATCTTTTGGCTTCCCTGGGTCACATTGGAAGAAGAATAATTATCTTGGGTCATATATAAAATACACTAAAAGCAATGGTAGCTGATGAGCTAAAAAAAAAAAAATAAAAAAGAAAAAAAACACAGAGAGTGAGAGAAAGTTACATCCATGATGTAACATATGTAAATAGTTCATTCTTTATAATGGCTGAAAAATACGATATTGTATGCATTTATCAGAGTTTGTTAATTCATTATTCCATTGATGGACACGTAGACTGTTTCCATCTTTTGTCTTTTGTAAGTACTATTGCTATGAACATCTATATACATATATTATTTGGGTACCTGTTTTTTATTCTTTCTTGGTATATATGTAGGAATGGAATTGCATGGTTATATGGTAATTCTACATTTAATTTTTAAATAAATGCAAAACTCTTTTCAACAATAATGTTACCATTTTATATTGTTACCAACAATATATAAAGGTTGCAGTATTTCCAAATGTTTGCCAATGCTCATTATTTTTATTTTTAAAATTGTTTAATATAGTCAACCTAATGGGTGTAAACTGGTATCTCCTTGAGATTGAGATCTGCATTTCTCTGATGACTAAGGATGTTGAACCTCATTTTATGTGCTTGTTCTCAATTTGTTTATTTTCTTTGAAGAAATATCTATTTCAATCTTTGCTTATTTTTAAGAAGATTGTCTTTCTGTGGTTAAGTTGTTTCTATAAGAATTCTGGAGACTAGACCCTTACTAGACATATTGGCTTCAAATATTTTCTCTAGTTCTGTAAGTTGTTTTTCATTATCTTGATAATGTCATTTGATGCTCATTGTTTTCAATTTTAATGAAATCTAATTTATTATTTGTTACTCATATTTTTGGTGTCATTTCCAAGAAGGATTGCTAAATCCATCATCATGCAGATCTACTCCTATGTTTTTCTCTGAGAAGTTTACACTTTTAGGTCATGTTTAGGTCACTGATCCATTTTGAGTCAATTTTTGCATACCATGTGAGTTAGGGATGGTTCCAGCCTCACTCTTTGACAATGGATATCCAGTTGTGCCTATACCAATTGTTGAAGAGATTATTCTTTTCCACATTGACACCTTTGTCAAAAGTCAATTGACTGTCTACATTTGGCATAAATTCTGGGCTCTAAGTTTTATTCTATTGGTTTGTATGCCTATTGTATTCCATTGTTACACTGCTTTGATTACTGTAGCTTCGAGTAAGTTTTGAAATCAAGAGAAATTATTTGTCCAATATTGATTTCTTTTCAATATTGTTTTGGCTACTCACAATTTCTTACTTTCCACATGAATTTGGAGATCGTCTTTTATATTTCTTTTTTAAAAAGGAAGGCAGTTGGGCGCGGTGGCTCACGCTTGTAATCCCAGCATTTTGGGACGCCGTGGCAGGTGGATCACCTGAGGTCAGGAGTTCAAGACCAGCCTGGCCAACTTGGTGAAACCCCGTCTCTACTAAAAATACAAAAAATAGCCGGGAGTGGTGGTACACGCCTGTAATCCCAGCTACTCAGAAGGCTGAGGCAGGAGAATCATTTGAACCTGGGAGGCAGAGGTTGCAGTAGCCAAGATTGCACCACTGCACTCCAGCTTGGGCAACAAGAGCAAAACTCCAACTCAAAAAAAAAGAAACAAACAAACAAACAAACAAAAACAGATAGGCAAAGCTGAAGGCTGTTTAAATTTTAAGAGGCATTGCATTGGATCTGTAGATTGCTTGCGCGAGTAAGTAAATCTTAACATTATTGTCATCCAAACCATGAACATGAGCTATCCTTTCATTTATTTGGATCCTCTTTAAGTTATTTCAGCAATGTTTTGTAGCTTTTTGTTGTGTGAGTTTTCAGTTCCTTATTTGAATTTATTACCAGGCTTTTTTAAGATGTTATTGTAAAGGGAACTGATTTCTCAATTTTCCTTTCAGATTGGTCGTTGTTTTTATATATAAATACAACTGATTTTTGCATGTAAATCTTTTACCCTGCAACTTTTCTGAATTTACTTTTTGAACCTAATAAATAGTTGTATGTTTGTGTGTGCATTCTGTATGTAAAAGCATGTCTTTCATTAATGGCAATGGTTTTCTTTTTTTAGTTTCCTGCTGTAACAAATTATAACAAACTGCATGTCTTAAAACAACATAAATGTATTATCTTACATTTCTGGAGAACAGCAGTCCTAAATCAAAGTGTAAGCAGGGATGGTTCTTTCTGGCAACCCTGAAAGAGCATCTGTTCTATGCCTCTTCCCAGTTTCTGGTGGTTCCAACAATCCTTGCCTTTCCTTGGTTTCTACACACTTCATTCCAATTGCTACTGCTGTCTACCATTGTGTCTCTCTGTTCAAATTTCCTTCTTATTATAAAGACACAAGTCACTGAATTAGAGCCCACCCTACTCCATTATGACCTTAACTTGTTTCTATCTACAAACATCTTATTTCTAAGTAAGATTATATTTACAGGTACTACAGATTAGAACTTGAACATTTAATTTTGGAGATACAATGCAACCAATAACAATCTGCGACATGCACAGTATTTTCATCCCATCCGAGAATCCACAGAAGGTTTAAATCATTCCAACATCAACTCTAGCCCAACAACTCATTTAAATATCAATTCAAAAACACTCAAATATTATTTAAATCAGGTACAGGTAAGACTCTGGGTATGATTCATCTGGGGCTAAAATTCTTCTTTGTCTGAAGACCTGTAAAACTTAAAAACAAGTTATGAGATACTCTTCCCCAGGCCTCCTTTAGCTTTTTGTCCATGGCTTTCTTTATCTCTTTGACCACATTTAAGACTATATTTCAAATATTTGTCTAGAAGACCAATATGTGTGCTTCCTTGGGGTAACTTTTTTTAACTTCTCCTGCAAAAGGCCATTATTTTTTATTTTTATATAATTTATAATCTTTTCTAAAATCTGAATATTTTTAGTATCACAATGTGGCAGCATAATATTAGATATTTTCTTCTCTTCCAGGTTTGTTACATATAATTTGCTGTATATTGTAATTTTATTTTTATTTGACTTTTCAAAACTTTCTTTATAAAGTCTGTATTCTTTGTTGTGTTTAGTTTATCAGTGGTTTCTGAAGTCTCCAAGTTTTTTAGATAGTGGTCAGCTAGTGTTTGGCAGAGATTTCCTTAAAATGTTGGATATGAAAGTGAGAGAGAGAAAAAGGAAAGAAAGATAAAGAGAGAGAAAGAAAAGAAAGTAAGAAAATAAAAAGAAAGATAGAAAATAAAGGACACATAAAGAAAAATTGAAAGGCAGAAGAAAAAAAAAAAAGAAAACCTGACTCAGTAGTCACAGATTATCTGTCATTGGGCACACCTTCAATGACCTAGCAAGACCACGTGAAACTATGCAATAGTCTTACTTTTTGCTTGTTCTGAACCTAGAGATGAGTAAAGGTAAAAGCTGAATTCCGTAGTGTTTCCTAAGTATGTGTTCTACTTTAAGCATGTGTGTGGCTTCTTGAAACCCTCATACACGTGGAAACTTTTCCATTTCCTTATTTCTCAAAGAGATTATCAACTTTTCCTCTCAGGTTTTTAGCTTGCTTACTTGTTTGCCATAAGTGGCAGTGAGTTATTCATTCTCTGTAGAGTCATTTAAAGGAATTCCCTCTGTACAGCCACTTTTCTGCCTGAGAGTTCTAAGTTACATGAAACAAAGGCCAGCAAATTGCCTGAGTCTCTTAAGGAACTCCCAGAATGTCACAATGGACAAACACTACTATTTGAAATAAGATCTAATTTACTTCTGGAACAAAGGACCATCAAACCACTCTGGGAACATGGGCTGCCATGTCCAAGACCATCACTGAGCTAGGGAGGTGGAGGAACAGCAAGAACAAGTAAAAACACTACAAAACTTTTCTACCATTTTTAAGTGCTATTTAAAAATTTTGTTTGGTTGGCTGCTGCTAACCTTTAACTACTTTCCAGAGTTCTGACAATATTGATTCTGACAGTTTTTTTTTTTATTTTAGGTGCTGTGGAGGGATGAGTACCTATGCTATACATTTTGCTAATACCATCACAATTTGTCTTTGTTGTTTAAGTATGTGCAGTGTAATAATTAGTGAATATTTATATTAAAAATGTGTTACTTATGCAAATCTTAAGCTTATTTGGGTGTCCTATATTTTTATCTGGCAACCTATTTTGAATATACAGAGACATATACACATATAGGTACACATGCGGATATTGGCATATAAAGATATATGGATACATATATATAATAAATATACATATTTTTTCTGAGAATGTATAGTGTATAAATTGATGAAAGACTAAAACATTAAACAAATGTAAAAACAGAAAAAATAATATTTTATTCAAGTTAAACAGCAGTAAGATAGGGTTATAAAATAATGGTGATACTTTAAGGATGAGAAAGTATTAGAGACAGTCTTCATCAATGATGAATGAAGTTCAATATAAAGCTAGCTATTGCATATTTCCTTGATTCTAGGGAAATTTCCTTTTTCCCATTTTAATATATTCATCACATCATTTGCCTTGTATATATGGACAATATCACATGTTATTAAACTTTAATTCAAGTTTTGATTTTAAATTTTTATTAAAGTGTCCCTTAACATGTTATTTCACATTTCAGTCATAAAATGTAAAGTTACTGTATAATCAAAATAATTATTTTTTATCACTTTAGGAAATTCAATTAGTCAATGCTCCCAGTGGAGTTGATCTCAAACTTACCAAAACCAAAGCAAAAACTTTAGGTTTTTCAGATTTGGGGGATTTGAAACTCGTGGATTTGTGGGCAAGGAGTCACTATATATATATATGACTATATATATATGTGTGTGTATACAAACATCATGTTTTCGCTTGGTAAAAAGTAAGATTACTCTTTTTAATGTGCTGTGAAATCAAGAGACAATTCTTAATGCATTAGTTTCCTCAGCCTGCCATAAAAAATTACCATTAACTTGGTGGTTTAAAACAATAGAAATGTAATCTCTCATGATTTTGCAGGCAGATGTCTGAAATTAAGGTGCTGGCAATGACACCCTTTCTCTAAAGGCTCTGGAAGTGCCTCTCCCAGCTCCTAGAGTTTCTTGGCTTGTGAAAGCATATCTATAATCTCTGCCTCTCTCATCACTTAATCTTCTCTCCTGTCTCCTCTGTCTCTGTGGGTCCTCATTTATTATAGTTTTTATGAGGAATCTAGTCATTGGATTTAGGATCTCTCAAAATGTAAATGATCCCTCATCTTGTAATTCTTATCCTAATTACATCTGCAAAGACAATTACTCCAAATAAGGTCACATTCTGAGGTTCTGAGTGGCCACATATTTGGGAACCACTCTCCAACCCACTACACTTAAAAATGCATTATATATTCATATTTTCTACTACTAATCTTTGCCTTCAACATAATTATTAAGAATTTTATTTCATTATTTTCTGTTTGAACAATGTCTTAAAATCATAAAATTCTCAGACACGAGTTAGAACTTAAGAATTATTAAAGAAGAAACCCTTTTACCATTACATATTAGATAACTAGTGCCCAAATACTCTTTTTTTTTTTTTTTTTTTTTTGAGATGGAGTCTCGCTCTGTCGCCCAGGCTGGAGTGCAGTAGAGTGATCTCAGTTCACTGAAAGCTCCGCCTCCCGGGTTCACGCCATTCTCCTGCCTCAGCCTCCTCAGTAGCTGGGATTATAGGCACCTGCGACCACGCCCGGCTAATTTTTTGTATTTTTTAGTAGAGACGGGGTTTCACCATGTTAGCCAGGATGGTCTCGATCTCCGGACCTCGTGAGCTGCCTGCCTCGGGCTCCCAAAGTGCTGGGATTACAGGCGTGAGCCACTGCGCCCGGCCCAAACACTTTCGACTATTATGTTTAATGTATTAAACTGCTCAATGGATATTAATTTTGTAATTGCCTAAACTCTTGCTAGATTATCAAAAATCTGCAGGTTCACATAGAACTCAAATTAGAAAAAATGTAAGTAATTATTGTGTTCTGACCTCAATTTTTTCATGAAATCATCAATTTCATTTGGTAAATTATGTGAATTTATTTTTCTAACAAAAACTAATATATGGCAGTTAAAATGCTCTACCAAAGAAATATAATATTAATATTTACTGAGACTTGTGAGTGATCAAAAAACTTTCATAGGCAAGTTAAAAAATGAAATAGAATTGAATAGAATGACTTTTAAAAATAATTTGTTATTATTCATGTGATTGTTCTCTTTGCAATGTATGCATTTTAGAGCACTATATATACACATTTAAAATCTAAAGTGATTTTATAGTCTTAGAGGAGCAATATTTTTAACTTACTACTTCCAAAAAAAGGATGGAAACTTGTTGATTACTGAAAGCAAAAAGATAAATTACATGATAATTTCTACAAATTATCAGTTTCAGAGAGTACTACATTATTACTAAGACATTAGATTTTTCATTAAAGGTTAAAAAATTGAATGTTTCAGAAAGTATCTGTGTTAAGTAAATTATGTAAATTGTAACTAAATTATCCTGCATTGAAGAAATATGTTAATTTTTAACCTGCTGACTTACTCTTAGAAAATTGCTAAATGCTAAAAGTGTCTAAACATTTCAATTTGAATGCATTATTAAAAACATAATGACAGAGTTCCTTACACAATTTTTATTTAACAACTAAAAGGGTGATTCTAGGTTACTGTAATTAAGCTCCTCAAAGCCTTCATTTATAAAGATCCTTCCAGAGTTACCATTTTATTAAAGCCAAAGAAAAATTACATTGATACTTGAAGCATTTTCATATGTAAATGTTTCTATATATTAACCATGAAAGTTGCAGCACTCCACTTCCTCTTCTACTTTTCTCTCATTTTGATTGCTTTTTATCTGTAGGAATTATATTCTTTAAAAAATTAGCTATATTTTAATTTATCAGATGACGTATTATGCCCATTAAGTTGTTTCATTTTAACTTGTCCATGGCCTAGAAGCCCAAAGAAATGGTATTAGTAGGAATGACATTGAATTTCAGGAGCACATTGACTGGTGCATTAATATGGGACTATGTTCTAAATTGTTAATTATGCCAACATGATAAAATATATTTAATCAAGTATATTATTTCATTTTTTGGTGAGGGCATTTATTTGTGAATAAGCTAAGTTTTTAAACAAATTTCTCAGAACAAATCATGTTTGATTTTATATTTTATGTAGCATAATTTATGAAAACATTTACATTCTCAATATAATCAATAAGAATTTTTATGATTTTCAGAAGAAAATAATTAAAATGTGTACATGTACTCTGCGTATTTGCAACTCTGAAATGAAGTTATTATTTTCCCAGGTAGAAAAAAATCATCTAAATGAATTAAATAAAAACACATTATAGTATTCAAATTTGCACATACAATAAACATAAAATAAAAAGAAAAATTCTGATTTTTTAAATACTAATTCATGTGTAGATACATTTTTATCCTCATCAAGGAGCCATTACTGAATATAATGGAAAATTTCTTTTTTTGTTGTTTGGTTTTACTATTTATATTCAGTTCATGATGTGGCTGATAATTTCTGCAAGGCAAAACTCTAGTTCCCAGAGTTAATTTATTCAAAAAGTACAGACTTTCCATTTTAAAATGGCAGACTCCTTTTTAACCTGAAAATATATTAGAATAAAAATGTGAGGTCATAAAATAGGACAAGTTAGTAATAATAAAAAGGGTAGAGGTAGAGAGAAAAGTGTCCAATAATTCTTTCTGTGGTAGAATACAGATAAACCTTCGTGGCCAATGATACTGGTTGCCTACATATTACTGTTACTTGCTAAGAGAAATCCAGTTTTACTAAGGAGGTTTGCACCTAGGAAAGGAAACTATGGTAAGTGTAAATCAATGATGGTATCCCTTTCTACTTTGCCCATGATCAATTTATGCACACACATATTATCTGGCCTCTGCTGGCAACACTAGGATTTGTTTCTACCCTCAGAATAGAGGAGAAGGGAAGGCGAAGGTGGGGGGCGGGGAGAGAGAGAGAAAGCGAAAGAGAAAGAGAGAGGAAGAAGAGAGAGAGAGGCCTCACTGGTTCCTATGAATATGGTTGAGTAAATGTGATGCATGTACCTGTGGCAGCTCTCTTGTGATCATATGAGGAAGCATCACCTACACGCAGACTAGAAAATGAAGGTATCACATCGTGCACAGACAAGTTGTCCCACATTTATACATTCTGTTAAATAAATAATGGTCATTGTAAATGCTAAGTCAGAGTTACTTAGAACCTCTATTACCAATAGTCAAATGCATTCTATAAACATGCTTTTAAACTATGTTGATTGAAAGAGGCTGCAAACCACTGCTCAATGAAATAAAAGAGGATACAAACAAATGGAAGAACATTCCATGCTCATGGGTAGTAAGAATCAATATCGTTAAAATGGCCATACTGCCCAAGGTAATTTATAGATTTGATGCCATCCCCGTCAAGCTACTAATGACTTTCTTCACAGAACTGGAAAAAACTACTTTAAAGTTCCTATGGAATCAAAAAAGAGCCCACATTGCCAAGTCAATCCTAAGCCAAAAGAACAAAGCTGGAGGCATCACGCTACCCGACTTCAAACTATACTAAAAGGCTACGGTAACCAAAATAGCATGGTACTGGTACCAAAACAGAGATATAAACCAATGGAATAGAACAGAGCCCTCAGAAATAATGCTGCATATCTACAACCATCTGATCTTTGACAAACCTGACAAAAACAAGAAATGGGGAAACAATTCCCTATTTAATAAATGGTGCTGGGAAAACTGGCTAGCCATATGGAGAAAGCTGAAACTGGATCCCTTCCTTACACCTTATACAAAAATTAATTCAAGATGGATTAAAGACTTAAATGTTAGACCTAAAACCATAAAAACCCTAGAAGAAAACCTAGGCAATACCATTCAGGACATAGGCATGGGTAAGGACTTCATGTCTAAAACACCAAAAGCAATGGCAACAAAAGACAAAATTGACAAATGGGATCTAATTAAACTAAAGAGCTTCTGCACAGCAAAAGAAACTACCAACAGAATGAACAGGCAACCTACAGAATGGGAGAAAATTTTTGCAATCTGCTCATCTGACAAAGGGCTAATATCCAGAATCTACAATGAACTCCAACAAATTTACAAGAAAAAAACCAAACAACCCCATCAAAAAGTGGGCGAGGGATATGAGTAGACACTTCTCAAAAGAAGACATTTATGCAGCCAAAAGACACAGGAAAAAATGCTCATCATCACTGGCCATCAGAGAAATGCAAATCAAAACCACAATGAGATACCATCACAAACCAGTTAGAATGGTGATCATTAAAAAGTCAGGAAACAACAGGTGCTGGAGAGGATGTGGAGAAATAGGAACACTTTTACACTGTTGGTGGGACTGTAAACTAGTTCAACCATTGTGGAAGTCAGTGTAGCGATTCCTCAGGGATCTAGAACTAGAAATACCATTTGACCCAGCAATCCCATTACTGGGTGTATACCCAAAGGATTATAAATCATGCTGCTATAAAGACACATGCACACATATGTTTATTGTGGCACTATTCACAATAGCAAAGACTTGGAACCAACCCAAATGTCCAACAATGATAGATTGGATTAAGAAAATGTGGCACATATACACCATGGAATACTATGCAGCCATAAAAATTGATGAGTTCATGTCCTTTGTAGGGACATGGATGAAGCTGGAAACCATCATCCTCAGCAAACTATCGCAAGGACAAAAATCAAACACCGCATGTTCTCACTCATACATGGGAATTGAACAGTGAGAACACGTGGACACAGGAAGGGGAATATCACACACTGGGGCCTGTTGTGGGGTGGGGTGAGGGGGGAGGGATAGCATTAGGAGATATATCTAATGTTAAATGAGGAGTTACTGGGTGCAGCACAACAACATGGCACATGTATACATATGTAACTAACCTGCACATTGTGCACATGTACCCTAGAACTTAAAGTAATGCTCACCATCACTGGCCATCAGAGAAATGCAAATCAAAACCACAATGAGATACCATCTCACACCAGTTAGAATGGCGATCATTAAAAAGTCAGGAAACAACAGGTGCTGGAGAGAATGTGGAGAAACAGGAACACTTTTACACTGTTGGTGGGACTGTAAACTAGTTCAACCCTTGTGGAAGTCAGTGTGGCGATTCCTCAGGGATCTAGAACTAGAAATACCATTTGACCCAGCCATCCCATTACTGGGTATATACCCAAAGGACTGTAAATCATGCTGCTATAAAGACACATGCACATGTATTTTTATTGCGGCACTATTCACAATAGCAAAGACTTGGAACCAACCCAAATGTCCAACAATGATGGACTGGATTAAGAAAATGTGGCACATATACACCATGGAATACTATGCAGCCATAAAAAATGATGAGTTCATGTCCTTTGCAGGGACATGAATAAAATTGGAAATCATCATTCTCAGTAAACTATCACAAGAACAAAAAAACAAACACCGCATATTCTCACTCATAGGTGGGAATTGAACAATGAGATCACATGGACACAGGAAGGGGAACATCACACTCTGGGGACTGTTGTGGGGTGGGGGGAGTGGGGAGGGATAGCTTTAGGAGATATACCTAATGCTAAATGACGAGTTAATGGGTGCAGCACACCAGCATGGCACATGTATACATATGTAACTAACCTGCACATTGTGCACATGTACCCTAAAACTTAAAGTATAATAATAATAAAATAAAAAAAAAGAAAGAGGCTGCAATACAGTATTATCACATAAGGACTCTTCATAAAGGTGAAAGTCATTTGTCTCAAGAGAATCATAAAGATCTTCCTATCAAAGTTAACCTCTAAGATCTCTGAAGTAAAAAGTATTGGGAATTTACTTGAAAGGCAGTCAACAGTAGAGCATTCCAGTCACTTATTAAAATATTCATTTCCATTTCAGCTTATAGAGTTGCTAGCAGAAGTAATTAAACTTTTGGTTAGAATTAAACCACAAAAAGCAGGGCATGAAAAGTCAGCATTTGTTTCTCCAGGTACAGTACTTGCTTATTGTAATATCCACATAAGATAAGACAATAATACTCCTAAATTGCACTCTAAAGAGCTCTCAATTACAATCTCAGAAAAAAGGAGCTCCAACTTCCCATTCATGAGAGGAGTCCATTCAGGAAGCAGACCTACTTACATAGCAGCCAAGGAAAACCACAGCAGCTAGTCAAATAAACCAAGTCTTTTTTCCTTCAATCTGACTCAAAAAACAAACAAGAAAAAGCTAATAGAATGAAGTAGAGAGATCAATTTAAACAGTTAGATTAAAACAAAAATAATCAAGGAGAATAAAAATGAATTGTTAAAGGAAGAAAATATGCATTCATAAAAAGCATGAAAAAGGATACGATAATAAGGAAGAGTCAAATAAGATAATTGTCAAGGAAAAACAAAAGACTTCTAAAGATAAAAACTGACATAAGCCTTCAGAATAAAATGCTTTGTATTATTAGTATATGAATTTGAAAAAGACACCCTAAAATACAGTGTGACAAAATTAAAGAATATTAAAGCTTCTAGAGAAACACACATCTCCACTCATAAATTTTAACTCCCAAATAAAAGCTTGTGTCTGGCTCCCGAACTAGAGCAGGAAATATACACAAAATGATGCTATAGCATCTTCTAGTGCTAGTAAGTAAAAAGGGTACAAAAAAAAAAAAAAAAAAGATTGGAGTGTTTCAAAGGTACAAAAGAGTTAACTGACAGAATTCCCAAAGGCCAAAGTTGAAATAAGTTGAGCAACAAACTAGTATTGATTGCAACTCAACATAGAAAACAAACATTCATAAGTTTATACTGATATAATGTTATATACAAATGATTGAATAAACAAATAAATAAAGGGGAACACAAAGATATTCTAAGCAGAAACATTCCAAATCATTTATGTGGATATTTGGCCTTCAAAAAAGGTGGAACACAACTACTGACTTCTTAAGTGTGGGCTGCACATCTTGACTTCTTAATAAAAATCACAGTAGGGAAATAAGAAAAAAATAATTTTACAGTTGAGAAACTTGACAGTCCTCAACCATGGTTCAACCTCAGCAGTCACAAATCATGTTGATAGTATGGACCCTTGATATAAATGAAAGATAATGGCACTTTATCTTTGTGGTCTTCCTCTCAAAATTCCACAACCCTAGTCCAGTCATAAGAAAAACACCTGAAAAATCCTAATTGAGGGACATTCTGTAAATCCCTAACCAACACTCCTCAACACTCTCTATGTTATCAAAAACAATGAAAGTATGAAAAAACTATCATAGCCAAGAGAGGCCTAAGGAGACATGACAACCAAACAAAATGTGATATCTTGTATTGGATCTTGGAACAGAATAAGGACATTAGGTATAATTAATGAAATTAATAACTATGTATCACTGTGGGTACATGAAATATCACAAATACATCATACTAATGTAATAGGTTAATGATAGGAGAAACTGAGTGTGTGGTATGTGGGAACTCTATAGTAGCTTCACAATTTTTTGTAAATCTAAAATTGAATGAGCAATAAGTTTAATATTTAAAAAATTAATTATAAAACAGTTGAGTTACCTAAGTGCAACTATCAACCTGACAACAGATTTTCTGTCAGGCACACCAAGTGTTAGAGGAAATAATTCAGAGAGAAATTATTTTTAATATATAAATGAACGTACCAATAAATTTCCTACTATTATGTGTTTTTGATATTCCATTCTTCCTTTAAATGAATTTATATGGGGATATATTCTAGCCAAATAATAGAGAAAAATTGGGGGAAAAAAACCCAGAATACTGAGGAGTGTAGTTCTAACCAAGAAAAATAATGAAAAGAAGTCCCAGAATGATGCTTTGGCAGAAAGCCTTTAAATGAGACTTCAGTGATTGAAGAAGAGGGCAGGAGGCTTCTTGGAAGGGTGATCACCAATGAAGAGATTTCCATGCAATAGAGAAGATAACTCAATATGGATACACCCAAAGATGGGAGACTGCATATTGTTACGTTTAATAATATAAATTTATGAATTTAAAATCAAGGAAAATCAAAACCAGGAAATAAGAAATTGCTACCAAATGTATAGGGTCATTATGTATGCCATTGGGCTTTGGGAGAAGGAACTGTGACACTAATATTCTTCTTTCCATAGCAAAAATTATTTGCAAAGTAGCATAAATCACATGAATTTTTATATTTTAGAATCAACCATTTTTCCAAAACAGGAATAAGTACTGTGACAAAACTATATAAATCATGGCAAAAATTATAAAACCCCAACAATATAAATGTTTACACATTCAGATTACTGCATTTTTATAGTTATGAATTTGATTACCCACATAGCACATATTGTTGAGAATTTATGAAATAATTTTCTTTTCAAAAAATCTCTCATTTTTAAATTAGTAGGTGAGAATATACATTCCTAAGTCTATAGAGGAAATATTAAAATTCATTATGAATTATCATTTTATTACAAAGAAATTTATATGTCAAATTCTATGAAATTTGTTTTTCTGTACTGCCTTCTCAGCATACATTTTAGCAGCTAAACTTACCTGATTACAAAGAAAAAGGATGCTATGCTTTTATAAATGATGCCATCTATGAACAAAAACATAACGCTGAAAACAAACTTTGCTATGTATCAGCAATGTCTCAATATAAACAGGATTTGGCAGGGACAAAAAGTTGGCAGTGAATTTATGAAGAGAATCATAGTAAAAAACAAAAACTTGTTATGAGTCTACGGTCACATCATTTTTCCTGAGTTTGACAGTGAATAGATTAAATTCAAAACACATATTTGTGGGTGAACACCTGCACCAGATTCTATGTTAGTTATTAATGATATAGGTATAAAAAGGTTCACAGCTCTTTCTTCAAAACCAAACAGTTAAATAGAAGAGGCAGACATGTAAAACATTCTTATGGTCCTTTTGGTAGATGTAAACGTAATCCAGATTTAAGCTGAGGTTTCTCTGACAATTGAAATCTAAATATAATTTAAAGCAACCCTATTCATGTTTTGTCCACTATTTCTCCAAATACTGGAAGGTTTAGGTTATGTCATGGTCTCTCTAGCTCTTTTTTTCCCCTCCTGTCTGAATGTATATTCTCCAACCCACAGCTTTGCCTTTATTTCTGATCTGGCATAGAGTAGAAGTTGGATCTTGGCCCCTTTTCATAATTAATATAGACAAATCCAACAAAATAAACAAACCAAAAAAGACAAAAATCAACTACCTGTCCCTGCGTATTGCACAAACCCATAAGTTCATTTTTGAGGTGAGTCACAGGGGATTTGAATAGCAACAAAACAAATAATTTAATTTTCAGTTTCAGACATTCCATTTCTCAAAAGTACTGCAGTCAGTTTGCCATGGTTCTCAGCCAATTCACCACTCTCCTCTTCACTCTAAGCTGCTTCTAAATTCCTTTTCTTTTTTAAGGCAGAGGGCATTAGCTATCTTGTATTGCCTGTCTCCTCAGGAAATTACTTTCTCTCATGAACTCTCTTTTTATTTCAATTGATTTATAAAAGTGCTTTACTAAATGACAAGTGTTCTCTCCCCGTAAGTTTCTCTTAAAAGATCACAGAATTATTTTTTCTTGTAGCTGCAAGTTAATATAAGTTAATACATGAAAATAAACATGAATAATGAAATGAGAATAGGTAACATATATTGAACTCTTAAAAATATGCCAGTCAAATTTAAAATTACATCACATAAATTATACATACCCAATGATGTAGATATTGTGCTGATATTTTCATCCCGTACATTATTTTTTAATTCACTGAAATTAAAATTGCAAAAGCAATTATGGTTCAGCAAAACTGTATGAACTTTGGGAAATGATATTTTTCTAAAAGGGGCACATCTAACTTTAAGTGTGAAATATATTGGAAGTATCCAAAGCATACAGAGTGTATGTGGGAATTTGTGAAGAAGGGAGAAGAATTTTAAGTACAAAGACGTTAAAACAGCGTGGTTGATATGGAGAGGCATAAGGATCTCAAAATTGATAGCGTATTACTTGCCATAATAAATGGGTATGAGGTTGTGAAGAGTATAGTTTGAAGAAGCAGTCATAAGCTAGAGCATAATAGAATTCCTTAGGAGAAAACACTAAGGATATTGATATCTATTTTAAACTCTTTAGAAGCTGATGAGATTTATGCTATGTACAAAGTAGTAGATTATTTTCATAAATCTACTTTTAAAGTGTGGAAAAACTTAGAAGAAAAGCAAGGTGACACTACAGAATACCATCAAAGATGATGGTATCAAAGAAGAATATGCAAAACTATTATAATAGGTTAGCAAATGCACAAAACCCAGAATATATATTTGTACTTAGTACCAGTTATTTTATATCAATGTTCCTGAATTACATAAATATTTACATTATTCTTGAAGTTAAAGGCAATCTACCACTAAATCAGGACATACAAAGCCATTTACACCATTTTATACTTTATTACTGGATTTTGCAGGTGGTAATTTGGATTTTCAAAAGTTGAAAATGTTGAGTAGATATTTTATGTTTTATTTCTGTGAAATGCAGTAAGAAATATTACTTTACTTTGCAGATAATACCAACAGAAATGATAAGAGTTCGTTTTAAATCACAAAAATGTTAGAATATTTGCTTGTAATTTCAGAAGAGAAGTCACTGACAAAATATGAATGTGAAAATCATGTTTTCAACATTTTTTCTGCAAGGTATATACTAATCTTCAAGTTCTGCTCATATGGAATTGTTGCTTTTTAAATAAGAGTTTGAATCAAACACACTTACATATAATCAATAATTATATTTTCATAATCAAATTTCAAAAATATTTAGTCTATATTCTGTATATTTTCTTAGGGATTTAAAAAGTTATTTAAAAAGTATTATTTTTCACAGCTTCTTTTATAAGAGCATGTCATGTAACTTTTAAGTTTCAAAAATGAAGTATACTTAATAAAACTGAAATGAAACTAATAAAAAAATATAACAACTCTTTCACAATTTATATATATATATATATATATATATATATATATATATATATATATGACATTTTGATTATGAACATGATTGCTTTGCCATGGAATTGTTTATATTCTAGAGGAGTGATTCTTATCTGGCATATCATGGCACCCCTCAGAGACACAGCTGCCACTTGACACATCATAAACTTGTATGGGATCCAAATAAAATTTAAAATCATGCAAACAAATGTTATGAACTAGACAAATTAGCAGAGGAAACTTTCAAATTCCATTTGGGCATAAAACAAACTTCACATAATATTATTCAACATAGTAACTCAACAGGCAAGTGCTAGCACTACTAGTGATGCTATGTACATTTTACAATATTAGCATAGCTATATTGCTTTAGGAGAAAATGAACTTGAAAGATTGACAAAATTATTTTAAAATTTATAAACTATTCATTTTGTGTAATGATTCCCTCAATTCAGTAGCCTCTTTTAGCGACAATCTGACTCTTTTTTTCCTTAATTGTTTCAATGAGTTCAAAGAAGTAGTAAATATTGATGAAAGTTGAGAATACAGAAGGGCAGAGATTTAAGTGGCAATGTTTCAGAAACTGATTTGAGGTGAACAGATTGTCCAGCCTGGGCTCAAGCAGAGAGCACATCTGAATGCCACAGTTTCTCATGGCGAGTTTTGATTAATTAATCTTAATTTAGTGCTTAGAGGTCTTTGAATATTTAATGCTGGTCCTGACTCAGGAGTGTTGAAACCTTATAAACAATCATCCATCAGGATGTGATGTGATAGTTATTTTGTGGCCTGATATTCATTTTCAACTTCTACTCATCTATATGCAACAGAGATAATGTCAACAACTGATATTTATTCCAAAACAGCATCAAGAAAAACATTCATCAAAATACAGAGTTGAGCTAGTACTCTGCTGTTGAAAGGGTTAATGAAAAACAATCTTGAATTAAACAAATTAAACACACTCCTGACTTGTTTATTTATTTTACTTTATTATTAATTAATCCTTGGTGTTCTTTTGGACCCAGCCTAATGTAGTACTTACAAGCATCATTTATTATTCTAAGTGTGATACATACATATATATTTACCTTAGTTGTATAACAGGTACTATAATTATCCTCAGTTTAGACACGAAGTGGGAAAATGTATGTAAATAGCCTGATGCATTAACAATCCAAAAGGGTGAGGCTGAAGTTTAAACCTAAACATTCTGGTACTAAAGCACCATATTGTGTTTATGCGTATATATGCACACAATGACACGCACACAATGACACACACACACACACACACACACATATAAAATACACTACATACACATATAAATATTTACACTATATGTGTAAAATAGTCTGTGTATATGTCTACATGTATATATCTGAGCATAACACTAGGTTGGGTTAATTTCCTCCCCCTTTTTAACCTATGACTGTTAGTTAAATATTAATCTCTCCTATAGAGATAGATTGTAATACCCATTACAATTTAAAACACTCCAAAATATTTAGCATATATATGTTCTCTTGTAGTTTTATGATTTATTTGAATATCATGTGTATTAGTATGCACAATAAGGTTTCAACCACTGCTTTATACCTACAGAAGACTAAAATCATAAAAATTTTCTTTTTAAAACATTTAAAATATACTCTGTAAAGCCAATGATTGTATTATCTAAATGGGCTATCATCATATAGAAGAATTTTAATGACTTATGTGTAGCTATATGAATATATTTTAGAGCTTTATCGATTACGCTTGGTATGTTGCTTGCATTTTGCCTACTTTATTAAAACCAATATTACTGTTAAGACAGAGTTTCCTAGACTTACTGCATTATGACCCTTTGAAAATTACAATCTTTTGCAGGAAATTGATTGCAGCTAAAAATTAAATATGTGCTTAAATAGCAGGAATATTATAAACAAAATTATTATTAGAACTGATAAATACATTTAATGTGTATGCTTTAAAAATTTTCTAATCATTAAGATATTGAAATCAAATGTTCTTTATGTATTAAAGTAACGAAATCACAATAAATTCAATACTTTAACCTTAATACTTTTGTTATAAAATATGACATACACACCAACATTTTTAATGAAAGCAGTTTTTACTCTTTAGTATGAATCTACTTATTATATTGTATAAGTATGAGAAATTGTAGTATATCATATCACTTGTAGCAACAATTATTTTCCAATGCTCAGCTTTCATCCCAGCATAAAATGAAAAAAAAAAAATTTTGAACATGCAACTTGAAGCCATTTCTTCTTTTACAGAATTTGAGTATTTCCACTTTTTATGTTTAATGAAATTTTATCATGTGAAGTTTATCAATAACATTGTCTTATAAGTAAGAAATGTGCATTTTTCTTATAAATTTACACTTTTTAATGTATAAATTAAATAATTAAAGCTCTTTTTCTTCAGGTATATGTTATGCATTGATCCATGGAAAGAAACTGAGAAATAAGTGAATGTGGGATAATCTAGAAAGAGTTTTTATTTAAGTGGAAAAGATATATATTCCTGATTTAAAAGTAGGGATAGTCTTATGAGATTTTAATTTGGATAAATTTTGTAGATGACCAGAAAATTATTTAAAACAAAGGTAGAACTGTGCCATATTTTACACTCATTTGTCTATTATATTGATGTAACCTGGAGCAAAGGCCTAATTAGTATTGACTTTAGGTCACATCCATAGCACTGCAGGTTGCCGTGGCAATAGTAATCTACCTGACATTACTGACATTATAATGAGCATAAAAATGATGTAAATCATAATTAAAGTGAATATTAATTACTTATCTTGATCTTGGGGGACAGTCTGGGAATGCATTTTAAAGTGTTTATAATGAAAAATAGCTATAAAGTCATGCTGTAGGAAATGCAGGTAGTTTACAAGGTTTAATCTCTGACTGTATGCTCAAGACAGATTGAGCTTCTATTATGGACGTGAATTTGTTTTGACATCTGACTTTGTTTGAAGGCACTGTAGGTAATAAAATGTGTTGTTGTTTAATCTATTCTTCTGTCACTCATTTCTCCACGGAAGGGCCATCAGTCAGGAAAATAGTTAACTTGTCAACCTGTGGACATTTTCCTGAGATAGGACTGGTTGTACCAGCCAACTTCATGAATTGTGCATTTCACACTAAGAGTATGGTTTGAGTCTGACCACATGAGATATATATCATTTATTAAATTGGTTCATGTTTTATGATGACAAAAAATAAAATATATGTAAAGCTGTTTCTCTGAGGGGTGTCATGATACAGCAGATATAAACCATTGTTTATGAACCTTTTATACAGTTTAATTATATCTGTTTTTTATGCCTTTGGAACTTTTAAATATTAAAATCACAGTTCTTTTCATGTTTACCTTTATATTAGTGGTGAAAACTAAGGATTTAAAAATTATTTAAAAGCATAATGACTCAAATAATCAAGCATTGTATCAACATATGAATTCATGTGATACAGATTTTTATTTTGAGAAGAATGCATTTAAATAATAGCAGCCATGGAATTACAGTTTTCTTTAATTGTTTTGTGTCATATGACATTCAATAATGTAGTATGATGTATTATCATATAAATTATGCAAAGCTTAGTAGCCAAGAGAAACCATTTAATTTTGCTCTGGAATTTGTGGAACAGTGTTTCAGGAGTTGAGTTGGGCCCTTCATCTGCAAACATGATTCACTTGCTGCCATTTAGCTGGTCACTCACCTTGACTGGGAAATTCAAGACAGCTTAACTTATTAGCCTCTCACTTGTGCTAGGAATGACTGAGACAATGGAGGTTGGACAAAATCTCTCTTTCCCTTTACATGTTCTTTCTGTATGACAAATTTTGGCTTCCTCATGGAATAGGCTTTCTCAGGGTATTTACACTTCTTATATGGCAGTTTAAAATGTTCCAAGAGATCTACATGAAATCTGCAACAGTTCATGTAGCCTAAATTCAGGCTGCATTCTTCCATTTTTACGACATTCCTTTGGCAACATAAGGATAGTCTAAGTGAATATGAAAAGATGTGGTTCATTGGGGACCATTATAGACTGTCTATCTCAGTCGGCCTTCTCAGCCCCAGAGATTTTTATCCCTTCCATGTGCAAAGTACACTCATCCCTTACAGAAACCCCCAAAAGTCTCATTTCATTATAATAGCATCTCAAATGTTATGGAGCTCCTGGTCTTGTTAATGTGCACATAAGTTTCCTTGGATATAATTTCTTAATCACAATTTCTACAAATCTCATATTTTGCAAACTTAACAACAGATTATCTTTGACTGAAAGATTCAATATACAATGTTGAGATAGAGACAATATATAACACCATACTAGTCTGTTTTCATGCTGCTGATAAAGACATACCTGAGATTGGGCAATTTACAAAAGAAAGGGGTTTACTGGACTTACAGTTCCACTTGGCTAGGGAGACCTCACAATCATGGCAGAAGGCAAGGAGGAGCAAGTCACATCTTACGTGGATGGTGGCAGGCAAAGAGAGAGTGCTTGTGCAGGGAAACTCCCTTATATTACCATCAGATCTCATGAGACTTATTCACTCTCACAAGAAGAGCCCGGGAAAGACCTGCCCCCATGATTCAATTACCTCTCACTGTGTTCCTTCCCATAACACATGGGAAGTCCAGATGAGATTTGGGTGGGGACACAGTCAAAACATATCATTCCTCCCCTGGCCCGTTCCAAATCTCATATCTTCACATCTCAAAACCAGTCATGCCTTCCCAACAGTCCCCCAAAGTCCCAACTCATTTCTGAATTAACTCAAAAGTTCACAGTCCAAAGTCTCATCCGAGACAAAGCAAGTCCCTTCCACTTATGAGCCTGTAAAATCAAAAGCAAGTTAGTTACTTTCTAGATACAATGGGGGTACAGGCATTGGGTAAATACAGCCATTCCAAAAGAGAGACATTAGCCAAAACAAAGGGGCTACAGGCCCCGTGCCAGTCTGAAATCCAGCAGGGCAGTCAAGTCTTAAAGCTCCAAAATGATCTCCTTCGACGCCATGTCTCACATCCAGGTCATGCTGATGCAAGAGGTGGCTTCGCATAGCCTTGGGCAGCTCCTCCCTCTGCCTTTTCAGGGTACGGTCTCCCTCCTGGCTGCCTTCACAGGCTGATATTGAGAGTCTGTGGCTTTTCCAGGTGAATGGTGCAAGCTGTTAGTGGATGTACCATTCTGGATTCTGGAGGCTAGTGGCCCTCTTCTCACAGCTCCACCAGGTAGTTCCCCAATAGGGACCCTGTGTGGGGTCTTCCACTCCATGTTTCCCTTCAGCACTGACCTAGCAGAGGTTTTTCATGAGGACCCCACTCCTGAAGCAAACTTCTGCATAGGCATCCAGGTGTTTCCATACATCCTCTGAAATCTAGGCGGAGGTACCCAAACCTCAATCCTTGATGTCTGTGCACTCGTAGGCTCAACACCATGTGGAAGCTGCCAAGGTTTGGGGGCTTGCACTCTCTGAAGCCACAGCCTGAGCTCTACATTGGCCCTTTTCAGGCATGGCTGGAGATGCTGGGACACAGGGCACCAAACCCCTAAGCTGCACACAGCACAGAGACCCTGGGCCCAGCTCACAAAACCACATTTTCCTCCTAGACCTCCAGGCCTAGTGATGGGAGAGGCTACCTTGAGGACTTCTGATGTGTCCTGGAGACATTTTCTCCATTGTCGTGGGGATTAACATCTGGCTTCTCATTACTTATGCAAATTTCTGCATTCTGCTTGAATTCCTTCTCAGAAAATAAGATTTTCTTCTCTATCGCACTGTCAGGCAGCAAATTCCTGAACTTTTATGCTTTGTTTCCCCTTTAAAGCTGAATGCCTTTAACAGCACGCAAGTCACATCATGAATGCTTTGCTGCTTAGAAATTTCTTCTGCCAGATACTCTAAATCATGTCTCTCAAGTCCAAAGTTCCACAAATCTCTAGGGCAGCGGCAAAATTCCTCCCAGTCTCTTTGCTAAAACATAACAAGAGCCATCTTTGCCCCAGTTCCCAGCAAGTTCCTCATTTCCATCTGAGACCACCTCAACCTGGACTTCAGTGTTCATATCACTATCAGCAGTTTGGGTAAAGCCATTCAACAAGTCTCTAGGAAGTTCTAAACTTTCCCACATTTTCCTATCTTCTTTTGAGCCCTCCAAAGTATTTCAACCGCTGCCTATTACCCAATTCCAAAGTCATTTCCATGTTTTCAGGTATATTTCTTAGCAGTGTGCCACTCTACTGGTACCAATTTATTGTAGTAGTTAATTTTCAGGCTGCTAATAAACACCTACCCAAGACTGGGCAATTTACAGAAGAAAGAGGTTTATTGGACTTACAGTTCCACGTGGCTAGGGAGACCTCACAGTCATGGTGGAAGGTAAGGAGGAGCAAGTCACATCTTATGTGGATGGCAGAAGGCAAATAGAGAGCTTGTGCAGGGAAACTCCCCCTTATATTACCATCAGATCTCATGAGACTTATTCATTCTCACAAGAACAGCACAGGAAAGACCTGCCACTATGACTTGATTACCTCCCACTGGGTTCCTCCCACAATACGTGGCAATTGAAGATGAGATTTGTGTGGGGACACAGCCAAACCATATCAAACAATAGACACTCTCAGTCAAAAAGTGGAACTGAGGTTGTGAAGGAAGGTACACAGAAGTGAATCCAGCTGAGAATATGATCAGTGACTAGTGCCCAGTCATGCTTCCTTGGTGTAAATTGTGTGGCTATTGGACCTACTGTCTGCTGTATTTCAATAGAGTACTATTCTAGTATTCTAACTTTTTAATAAAAAATGTTTTCAAATAACTTCTTCAGTTTGTTATTCCCTACAGAAATTTGGATATCCAAAGGCCTCTTTTCATTTCATATTTTGAGTTGAACAAGTATACCTACTTTAAAAATATTTTGGGTTTCTATGTACTCAATTATAATTCATTTTATTATTAATTTTTACATTACTTAACAAGACCAATTATCTTTACATGAAGCTGAGAGGCAGGGTGCTATTTTACAATGCCCTTAAGAGATTTAAAAGCCATATTGGATAGGCCCATGAATTCTTCTGGGGTCTGCACAAAGGCTCTTACAGCCACACAGCTGACATTTTAGCCCTGAGGCTATGTTTACTGGTGTCCCCTTGGACTTGATCTCCACCTTTATTCCATTTCTTAGTTTAAAAGTCTTTTGCAACAAAAAAATGGATATGAGAACCAGTCGCATTTGTAAAACCAGCAAGTCTTGCTGGTGTATTTTCTCTAATATTTTTTCAAAAATTAAACCAATACTTATTTAATTCATTCTTTCTCATATTTTATCATTAGAAGCTAGAAGACTAGGGGACTTCTTTGATAATGCCTGAAATATCCCCTGTGAGATACAAACATTTATGAGATCATTTTTTCTATTTTCCATGTTATACAGCAAACAGCAAATAGTTTTGACAAACTTCTGCTAGTACATTAGAATGTTTCTGTTTTCTTCAGACTCCAAGACCATTTTTCTCACTCTCCTTCAAGCCTTCAACAACAGCCTTACTGAGGCCCCTACAACTGTTGTGAACATTCTCTTTCAGGACCTTTTAGTTTCCACCTGCCACCATTATAAAAAGTGTTATATCTTTTTGGCATTTTTATAACACTCCAGTTCTGTTACCAATTTCTGCTCCTTATTTATTGTGGTGTAACAAACTGATCTGAAATTTAGTAGTTTAAAAATATTATGTCAAGAATTTTAGTAAAGCTCAGTTGAGCAATTACTTGGATCCATATCACATTAAATTTGGCGATATTCAGCCAATAAGTGTGCTGGTATAGAGGAGCCAAGGCAGCTCAGTTTCCATGCCCGGCATCTGAATTGGGATGATTAGTAAAACCAGCAGTAGGCTAGCATTGGTGTATCTCAATGTAGCTTTTCCATATAATAAGCTTAGGCTTCTAAAATGGAGTGGCCATCCAGCGTGGAATGTAGCCACATTACAGCTTAAGATGTAGCAAAACAACACGAGACAAAACAAAAATAACACACACACACACAAAAGGAAAAACAGAAAGAGGGAAAAATATAAATAACTGACTTTTCTCTTCATTTTTATTTTCTTCTGGTGTTTGCCCTTGGTTCAATCTAAGTAAAAGCAAAAGTAAGTAAAAGTCACAGAGCAAGCATGCCTAGTTAATGCAGTCTATATGGATCAAAAGGGTAGTTTATCTAGAGTGTTATGTAGAAGAAAAACAGAACAATTCATTAGCTTTTTTGTTCAACAATTAGTCTCTTCCATAAGTTGAAGAAAGTTTTATTCCCATTACCATGAATATAAAAAATTACTACTAGCTTCTGTATCATTGGACAGGTGAAAATTCAATTTTCATCTCTAGTACTAGAGTTTATGGTGTTGGGAAAAATGTTTTCAGCAGTGAAGGTACATGTTTATCCACATAATGTAAGTACCTGCTAGAAGACACATTGCTGCCCCTTCCATGAAAGCATGATACAATGTGATTCTTCTCATAGGGCTCCACAATGGCCTCTGCTGTGGACAAGCTGGGCTCTAAAAATGGAGGTGGAACCAATAAATAATAACCTTCCAAATCAGAAAGCACCGGGCTCAGATGGGTTTATTGGTAATGCTACCATACACTTAAAGAAGAAATGATACCACTTTTTTTCAGTCTCTTTCAGAAGACAGAAGCAGAGAGATACTGCCTAGCTTATTTTATGTGGCCAGTGACACTCTAATATCCAAACCAGACAGACGTTATAAGAAAATAAAACGATTGATCAAAATAACTCATGAAGATAGATACAAAACTTATTAACAAAATATTAGCAAATTGAATTCAACTAATATAAAAAGAATTAGATACCATGACCAAGTGAGATTTGTTTATGCAGAGCTAGTTCAACATTTGAAAATTAAACACATCAACAGGCCAAACAAGACAAATCACATGATTATAATTGATAGAGTTCAATAACAATTCATGATAAAATCTCTCAGTAAACTAGGAATAGAGGGGAACTTCCTCAACATTGTAAAGAATATTTATAAAACCCTACATATAATATACTTAATGGTTAGACACGAAAAACATTCCCAGTAAGTTCAATAATTCTTTATAATCTTGTACTGGCAGTCTTAGCTAATCCAATAAGGCAAGAAAATAAAATAAAAGGTGTAAAGATTGGGAAAAAATAAACAAGACTGCCTTTGTTCATAGGTGACATGATTGTTTATACAGAAAACTAAAATGAATGAACAAAATACTTCTAGAATAGAAAAGTCATCACTGTATGGTTGCAGGATATATTAAGACACAAAAGTCAATATATGTCCTATATGCCAGCAATGAACAAGCGAAAACTAAAAGTAAAGACACTATAACATTGATATTAACACCCTAAAATATGAAATGCTTACACACAAATCTAACAAAATATGTACAAGATTTATATGAGGAAAATACAAAACTCTCATGAAAGACATAAAAGTGGAATTAAATGGAGAAAACTCTACATTCATGGATGAGAAGACATGATATTTTCAAAATGTCATTTTTGCCCCCAAATTGATCTACAGGCTCAATGCAATGCCAATAAAAATTCAAGCATGTATATTTTGGATTTCAACAGATTGATTCTAAAATTTTTATGGTGATGAAAAATTCCTATGATAACCAAAACAGTATTGAAGAAGAACAAGGTTAGAGGACTAAAACTCTCTGACTTCAAGATTGACTATAAAGCTACAGTAATTAAGAAAGTGAGGTATAGGTGTAAAATAGGCAAATAGATCACTGGAAGAAGATAAAGAGTGCAGAAATAGACCCACATAAATATAGTCATCTTATCTTCGACAAAGGAGAAAAGACAATATAATGGAGAAAAGATAGTCTTTTCAAAATTCATGGTAGAAATTCCATTACTGTGTATATACCTAAAGGAATATACATCATTCTATTATGAAGATACATGCATGCATATGTTCTTTTCAGCCCTATTCACAATAGCAAAGACTTGGAATCAACCCAAATGCCCATCAGTGATAGACTGGATAAAGAAAATGTGGTACATATACACCGTAAAATACTATGCACCCATAAAAAGGAACAAGATAATATCCTTTGCAGGGACATGGATGGAGCTTCAAGCCGTTATCCTCAGCAAATTAACGCAGGAACAGAGACCCAAAAACAGCATGTTCTCACTTATAAGTGGAAGTTGAAGGATGAGAATACATGGACACATGGTGGGGAACAACACACACTGTGGTCTATAGGTGGGAGCTGGGGGAGGAAGAGCCTCAGGAAGAATAGCTAATGGATGCCGAACTTAATACCTAGGTGATGGGCTTATCTGTGCAGCAAAAACCACCATGGCACATGTTTACCTATGTAACAAACCTACACATGTACCCCAGAACTTAAAATAAAAGTTGAAGAAAGAGAGAGAAAAAAAAAGAAAAATTCATGCTAGAACAACTGGACGTCCAGTTGTAAACAAATGAATCTAGACACAGACCTTACATGTTTCATGCAATTAACTCAAAATTTCTCACAGACCTGCATGTAAAACATAAAATTATATAATACTTAGAGGACAACATAGGAGAAAATCTAGTTAACTTGCGTTTTTCAATGACTTCTTAGGTGCAACACCAAAGTGCGATCCATGAAGTAACAAATTGATGAGTTAAACATTGAAGCAACAAATAAAAATGTCTGCATTGTGAAAGACATTGTCCAGAAAATAAAAAGACACACCATACACTGGGAGAAATATTTGTGAAAGATACAGTAGAGAAAGAGCTGTTATCCAAAATATAAAAAGAACACTTAAAACTCAGTAATAAAAATATGAAAAAACATGACCAAATGTAGACCAAATACCTTAACAGATTTCTCACCAAAGGAGATATACAGATGGGAAGTAAGCATGTGAAAAGATTCCGTACATCATGTATCATCACGAAAATGCAGATTAAAATGAGATACCACTACCTACCAGTTAGAGTGGCCAAAATCTAGGACAAGCAAAACACCACCAAATGTCAAGCTGACAACAATAGATGCTGGTGACAATGTGGAGCAACAGGAACTCATTCATTGCTGGAGGGAATACAAAATGGCACAGCTACTTTGGAATATAGCTTTGCGGTTTCTTACAAAATTGAACATACTCTTACTGTATTATCTAGTAATCACCTTTCTTAAAATTACCCGAAGAAACTGAAAACACCAAAGCCTACACACAGATATTCATAGCAGCTTTTTTTTTCATAACTGCCAAAATTTAGAAGTTACCAAGATTTCCTTCAATAAGTGAATGGGCTAATAAACTGTGATACATATAGATGACAGAATATTATCCAACATTAAAAATAAATGAGCTATCATGCCATGAAAATAAATGAAGGAAACTTAAATGCATGTTATTAAATAAAAGAAGTCAATCTGAAAAGGCTACAAACTGTAGAATTTCAAGTAATTTTATAGAACACTCTAGAAAAGAAAAAAACATGGAGACAATAAAATGATTGGTGGTTGCTAGGAGTTGGGTTGAGGGAGGAATGACTAGGCAGAGCACGGAGGATTTTTAGGACACGGAAAATACACTGAAATGACACTATAATGGCAGATATGTGAATAAACATTTATTCAAACCCACAGAACATACAACCCCAAGGGTGAACCATAATATAAACTAGGGACTCCAGGTGATACTGATGTGTCAATGTAGGTTCAGCAGTTGTGGTAAATATATTACTCTGGTGGAGCATATTGATAATGGGAGAGGCTATGCATGGGTGGAGGCAGAAAGTATATGGGAAATCTTTGTACCTTCCACTCATTTTGCTGAGAACCTGAAACTTCTCTGAATAATAGTGTATTTTTTAAAAAGTAGAGGAGGTAAACTTATCGATGACCAGCATTAAGCCATGTTGTTTGAGAATTTTTACTTCCCATTACCATACTTTTTGATTCAACATGTATGCAAACTCTGGCATCCAAAAAGGTATACTTAACTCAGTGAACACAGCTATGGTTTTCCTAAAGTGACCTGGCCCTAGGAAAATTTAGGTTACTCAGGTTGGTGAACTGAAGGCTTAAAGAGGAGGTTATTACTAGCTGGGGTCAGTGTTTCTTATATATGGCATAAATTTGGGTTTGCTTGCTATGCTGTGGTG
Organism: Homo sapiens; assembly: GCF_000001405.40. Lineage (NCBI taxonomy): Eukaryota > Metazoa > Chordata > Mammalia > Primates > Hominidae > Homo > Homo sapiens. The sequence continues at coordinate 86,701,722 of NC_000013.11, forward strand.
GCATACAAGACTATATCTATTACATTTTTAAGTTAATGAAGCCTTTTTAGTTGTACATCTATGAATATATTGTATTTGTGCCTGTTAGATAAACTTGAATAAATGAAGAAAGATGACATTTACAGCAAGATGTGTCTTATCAATCTGTTTGTTGGGATGCATTTGTGTAAAGAATGTCTTCTAATAAGCATATCTATAAGAATATATTTTCTGTTTATTTCAAGAGATATATCCATAAAATCTTCTCTGGATATCCTAGTCACCAATCCTTTAATCTTGAATTCTCAAACCTCAACCAGCCAGTGAATCCATTAGCACTGTCCAGAAGTCACTACCCAAGACTTGTGCCTCCAGTCACAAATTCTTCCTAACCATGGAAATCATATATTTTGCTCAAAGTTCTGCCCACTGTGAAGTTCACTGTTTAACATTGGTTTTCAAAACAAACCCTGTGTAAGGCTGTTTTTCAGCAGCCATTTAATTCTGGATGATGCCAGTTTAACATACAGACTCAGCTGCAAACCAGGGCCATATATTTTTTTTTCTTCTGTTGACAGTCATAGTGGACACCCCATGAAGTCATATCAGTGTTGTGAAGGAAATGTGATAGAACAGTATGAGTAGGTATTATGGTAGACTGAGCCACCTGTTCATGTAATTTATTTGCATCTTCTCAGGCTTGTCTGGATCTAGTTTGTATATGCCATTTCTATTTAAAGATGGAATGCTGCTGTGCATGCATCAGATAATACTCAATCTATGATTAGTAGCTAAGTTCAGAGACATTTTTTCCATGGCCAGACATTCATGATTCTTCAAATAGTCACTATGTATCTTGAAATAATTCTATTCAACATCATGAGACATGACCAATTACTAAGTCATAAGAAAATTACCTGCATATATCATTTTCACATCCAAACTCTGTCTACTGCAATCACATAGCTACAGGTTGGACTTCGCTAAACCCACAGTTATGTTCCCATGTAGATTTCACTACAATCAAGTTCCTGTAAATTTAATTTAAGAAACAAAGACGACAAAGCCAATATTATCCCTGCTTTATAAATGACTTTTTCTAATATGCCAGCTCCAGTTTAAAGTCAATATCTTAAAGGTCTCTCTGGTGATCTTTTTTTTTTTTTAATTTTTTGTTATTTAGCCCTATGTAATGTAGACTCCAAAGTAAGGGCTAAGAAAAGAAATAAATAAATAAAAACCATCACAGTTGATAGAACATTGACAAATCATAAAGGCAGATAGATAATAATAGATTACAGACAGATCAATCTGTACTTTATCACTCTTCCCAAATATTACATTTTTTACAAATTGAAGATTTGTGGAAACCCTGAATTGAACAGTCTATTGGTGTCATTTTTCCAACAGCAGGTACTCATTTTATTTTTCTGTGTCATATTTTGCTAATTCTCACAAAATAACTCTTTGATTGTATTATGTCTGTTATGATGTTCTCACTTGTAGGTGGGTGCTAAACCACTAGAACACATGGACACAAATTGGGGAGCAACAGACAGCAGGGCCTACTTGAAGGTGAAAAACGGGAGAAGGGAGAGGATAAAAAAAACTACCTATTGGATATGATGCTTATTAGCCAGGTGATGAAATAATCTGTATACCAAATCCCCATGATAGGCAATTTACCTACATAATAGACCTTCATATGTACCCCTGAAACTAAAATAAAAGTTAAAAAAAGGCCATGTCCCCCTATTCATTGAAATATTGACTTATTTTTTGGCAAAATATATTGTCCTGCTGAGCTACTGAACAAAGGAAAGCATCATATATAATATTATATGGTGTTTGGTGATGTATGAATATCTGCTACAACAAAAACTGTTTTGTCATATACATATAATGAACATTATTTGTTTATCATTTATTAAAGATTACATTTATTTTTTCATTAATTATCATTTTAGTACTTTTTTCATTCTCTTTATTTAGCCTTTTATAAATTTTCCCTGAATCAAATTATTATAGCACTCTAAAGAAAGTTTTTCCAAATTATTTTTGGTGGATTTTCTATTTCCTTATTTTTCTGAGTCACCTAGAACATTTTCATAAGTTTTACTTTTTGTGTTGTGTTTTGCTTTATTTCTTTTGGCTTCACTTAATGAGACAACATGCCCATTACAATAAAAGGCCTCTGAGGGAGGGAAAATGTGAATTATCACAAAATTCTGCTTTTCTTATTTGGCACATATTTATAATTAGATTTAAACGGCTAGCCTGGAATAAGAGTTGAGGTGGGACTGAGTTTTACTTAACAGAAAAAAAAAATTTAGATTTCTTCATTCACCAACAAAAACATAGTTGTGGGCTCTCAATTCCATAGTGTCTGTGGCAGAATCTAGAGTTCTGCCTATTATTATGGCATAGTTTTCATAACATTTTAAAATATAATGCAGAATAAACACTCTTGATATTATACTAATATATAGCCATTTCTTATGTTTTTTTTTTTTTGCTTTTCTAGAACATTTTTGGATATTTCAGTTATATTATTAAACAATATAAGGGGAAAAGTTCTGACCCACTGTGGTGCTATATTTTTTATTAATACGATAAATATTTATTGAGTAACTTCAGTGTGTCACACACAATGCGCTGAGTAGAGTATATGATGAAAACAGAAACATATGCATTCTTGCCTTTATAGGATATATTGCCCTAATTTTCAAATTAGTTAAATAATATTGCCCAGCATTTATGATTTTTCATTCTTCCAAAAATTCTAACGTTGTTTTTATATTTTTATGCTTTTCTTAAATATTTGGATTACTAGTAATTACACTTACAATAATCTTCCAATTTAACATTGCTATGTGCTAAGAGCTAAATAAATAATTTTGTAGTATAATTCTTATAAATATATTTCTTAGTATATATTTTCAGTCTTTAAAGTATATACTCATAGATTTCATACCAGAGTTGCAGGAATGTTTTAATACCATACATAGAATAGGATATTATTCATTTCTGGAACAGTTTATGATAAACATGTAATCCCCTTGTATTCTGAATTAATCAGTGCAATTATATCTAGTTGGTTTAAAATGCAATCCTCAAATTCCTTCGATTTAACAGATAAAGTGTTTTTTTTTTTTCTCATTTGAAGACTGATGTGGATGTTCTTAACTGAGCTCCTGTGTTTGGTGGCCATCCTTATAGTTCTGCCTGCCTGCCATACATACGTAGAAAAAAAATATGAAAACCTTAGGGAACTGTTTATGCCTCAGAGGTCCACTTCACTTCTGTTCCCAGTTCACTGATACATTAGAACTGAATGGGACCATACCGAGGCTCAAGTCAATAAATGTGATACACCACATAAAAAATTTAAAACAAAAATCACACGATTATCTCAATAGCTGCAGAAAAAGCATTTGAAAACATCCAGTATCCCTTTGTGACTAAAACCCTCAGCAAAACTGGCATACAAAGGACATACCATAAGGTAATAAAAGCCACCTATGACAAACCCACAGTCAACATAATACTGAATGGGAAAACACTGAAAGCATTCCTGCTGAGAACTGTAACAAGATGAGGATGCCCACTCTCACCACTTCTACTCAACATAGTAGTGGAAGTCCTAGCAGAAGCAACCAGACCAGAAAAAGAGATAAAGGGCATCCGAATTGGTAAAGAGGAAGTCAGGTTGTCACTGTTTGTTGATGATATGATGGTACACCTAGAAAACCCTAAAGACTCCTCCAAAAAACTCCTAGAACTGATAAATGAATTCAGCAATTTCAGGATACAAAATTTATGTACACAAATCAGTAGAGCTTTTATCCATCAACAGCGACCAAGCTGAGGACCAAATAAAAAACTTAACCCCTTTTACAATAGCTGCAAAAAATAAAATAAAATACTTAGGGATATACCTAACCAAGAAGGTAAAAGACTTCTACAAGGTAAACTACAAAACACTGCTGAAAGAAATCATAAATGACAAAAACAAATGAAAATACATCCCATGCTCATGGATGGGTAGAATCAACATTGTGAAAAAGACCATACTGTCAAAATCAATCTACAAATTCAATGCAATTCCCATCAAAATACCATCATTATTCTTAACAGAACTAGAAAAAAAATCCTTAAATTTATATGGAATGAAGAAAGAACCTGCATAGCCAAAGCAAGGATAAGCAAAAATAACCAATTTAGAGGCATCCATCACATTACCTGACTTCAAACTATACTATAAGACCATAATCACTAAAACAACATGGTACTGGTATAAACAAAAAAGAGAACATAATTTTAACACATACATGTGACAACCAGAAAGTCAGCAGTTGTCAGAGACTGAAGAATATGCAAAATAGCCTTATGATGTGCACTTGAACACCACAAATTATATTTCACAGTAAACAGAATTACATGCTAATTTTTTTCTAATTATCTGATTGAAACTACTTTTTTATTTTGCTCTGGCCAAAGACAGGATAAATCCTGAAGAAAGCTGGGAGATGTGCTGATATTTTGATAATTAAGTATGTGGATAGAGTGGGATAATAGTGTAATACTATCAGATATTTATGTTACGAATTACTGTATGTCATTCTATGTCTCTTGCATTTGTGGAAGACAGTGTGGCAATTCCTCAGGGATCTAGAACTAGAAATACCATTTGACCCAGCCATCCCATTACTGGGTATATACCCAAAGGAATATAAATCATGCTGCTATAAAGACACATGCACATGTATGTTTATTGAGGCACTACTCACAATAGCAAATACTTGGAACCAACCCAAATGTCCAACAATGATAGACTGGATTAAGAAAATGTGGTACATATACACCATGCATGTCCTTTGTAGGGACATGGATGAAGCTGGAAACCATCATTCTCAGCAAACTATTGCAAGGACAAAAATCAAACACCGCAAGTTCTCACTCATAGGTGGGAAATGAACAATGAGAACACTTGGACACAGGGTGGGGAACATCACACACCGGGGCCTGTTGTGGGGTGGGGGGAGGGGGGAGGGATAGCATTAGGAGATATACCTAATGTAAATGACGAGTTAATGGGTGCAGCACACCAACATGGCACATGTATACATATGTAACGAACCTGCACGTTGTGCACATGTACCCTAGAACTTAAAGTATAATAAAATATATATATATATAAAAAAAGAAAACTATTTTTAGAAGTGTAGGAAAAAAATTTTGTGTCTTCTTTCTTGACCTTGTGATACTATTAATATACATTTTACTTTTCAATATTATAAACCCTATTGTACTTTTTAATTTTACTCTGAGCATTCAGTTATTTTTTAAAATATCTAAACTAACAGAAAATAATCTTTCATATTTACTCTCGTATGTATCATATGCAGTGCTTTTAATTGATTTGGATAGATCCACATTTTACTCTGCTATCACTTTTTTCGACTTTCTGAAGAACTTCTTTTAACATTTTTTTCATGTGTTTCTCTTTGTGATGAATTATTTTAGCTTTTGTTGTTCTGCAGATATTTATTTTGACTTCATTTTGAAAAGTACATATAAAGTCCCAGGTGGATTTTTTTCTTCCAGTATGTTAAAGGTATACACTCTTGTCTTTTCATTTATGTTGTTTCCAACAAATAAATGTGCTGTCAATCTTATATTTGTTTCACTGCATGAAACAGTTGTTTGTTACTCTGCTGTCAATAGTTTTTCTTTATTACTAATTTGGAGCAAGTTAATTGGAATGTTCCTTGCTGTAGATTTCTTCATGTTTCTAGTATTTAAGTTTTATTATACATCTTGAATACATAGTTTACTACTTCCCATCAAATTTAGAAAAATATGGCCCCTGATAATTTCACATACTTTTACTTTAACCTATCATCATTTCTCTCCCTCGGGAGCTCAAATTATAATTACCTTGTATTTCTTAAAGTTGTCCCACGGTTCAGCAGTGTTTCTTTCATTTGTTTTTTTCTCTTTTCTCTTTGTCTTTCAGTTATGATAGGTTTCATTTTTTTTACTTCAAATTCACTAATTTTTCCTTCTGTGATATCTAATTAACTGCTGCTCTCACCCAGTGTATTTTTTATCTCACATATTGTGATTTTCATTGGTTTATGTGTAATTATCTTTTTAAAAATTATGTATTTTCCATGTCTCTACTTAACTTTTTAAACATATAGAATGCAGTTAAAATAACTGTTTTCATGTCATTTTCTGCTCATTCAAATATCTGTGTCTGGTCTGTCAATTTCCATTAGCTAATTTTTTTTCTCATTATAGTTTATATTTGCCTTCTTTTGTCACACCTGATAATTTTTGTACTTTTAAAAATATTTTTTGGCTATTTTGTGTGATACAGTTTAGTTACTTGCAAGAAGTTGTATCTTTTGGGGGTCTTGCTTGTATAATTTATTAGGCAGGCATTGAGCCATATTTATTGTAGGACTAATTATTCCTCACTATTGGATCAAGATTTTTCACACACTCTCCCCAAAATCCCATGAATCTTTAGGCTCTCTAGTGGCTGGTGAGAATATTCCTGGTCAGCCTCAAGCACTGGGCATTCTTAGTCATAGTCTTTTCAGATGATTCTTTCAGAGGTTTCTGCTAGTTTCCTCACATATATGTATTACTATTTTCAGTACACTGCTCAATGCTCAACAAGAACCCATTAAACAACTCCAAAGTTTTATCTGTAGTTCTTTCATCTGTATGTATCTTTTTAATGAACTCTAGTCTCAGTATCCCTGTAGTCTTAGATCTTTCTTCAAGACTCAGTAAGTCAGTTTATTTTCTTCTAGGCTCTTTCTTCATTCACCATTGTCTGCAAATCTTATCAGGTCACTGATCTGGTGTAATCATAGGAATAATTTTTTATCATTTTTTTCCTTTTCTCTGATGTATTACTTTTCTTTGTTGTTTAAAGTTGAATGTCCTGAAAACTGATTTTTACATATTTTGTTCATTGTATGATTGTCTGTTTTTGATGCACTATCTGTTTTTGTTTGTTTTTGAGATGGAATTTCACTCTTGTTGCCCAGGCTAGAGTGCAATGGCGCAATCTCAGCTCACTGCAACCTCTGCCTCCCGGGTTCAAGTGATTCTCCTGCCTCAGCATCCCGATTAGCTGGGATTACAGGCAGCCACCACTATGCCCAGCTAATTTTTGTATTTTTAGTAGAGACGCGGTTTCACCATATTGGCCAGGGTGGTCTCTAACTCCTCACCTCAGGTGATCCACCTGCCTCGGCCTCTCAAAGTGCTGGGTAATATATATATAAGATTTCTATTTTATTTCATTTTAATATTTGTAATGACTTTGTATCACATCTTATTTTATGCTCTATGGATTTTAAAAGTAGTATAACATGGTTCCTATTCTTTATTACTTTTTAAGAAAATACACTGAGCAATTTTAATATTCTTTTGAGGATTCTCATAGAGGTATGTACCTAATGAAATAAGAAAGTATAACTGGGATTCAGTGCTGGTTTAATTGAGTACTTGGCAGATATTTAGCCAATGCTGCCTAGAAGAGTCGATTATGGAATTACATTTGAATTGATGATTTCGAGTTCTCAATGGATTAAGACACAGCATGAAAACATTTGACTCATAGGTACTATGAACAAATGTGCAAAGGTGTGAATAGTGTGTTTGCAAAACCGCAAACAGATTGCTGTTTCTGGATTATAGAGTCATGAAATGTTAATTCAGTATTGAAATGTGAGGCTGAGGTAGCAGACCATTGCCAGATCAAAAACGAGCTTGCATAATAGCCAACATACCTGACCACGATCCAATGATTACATTATGACTTGAGTAAAAAGATAAAGAAAAGTATAATCTTTAAGAAACTTTATTGAGCCTCCAACAGAAATTAGAAAACATAGTTTGAAGACTCTACTATTTGTATGGTTGTGAGATTTGGGGTAAACCATTAAGTCATGATGGAAATAGCATCACAAAAGAGACAACAGGTTGACTTTCAGGATATGGGCTTTTAAGGATTTACAAAGATAGGGCAGTGTCAAAGGTTTTGAGGATGATTCTAAAAAAAACTATGAAATGATTAGCCATAAATTTCAGGGTAAACAAAAAATAAAAATAATGCTAGATCATAATAAACTGCAGTACAACTAGGAAAATACAAAATTATTTTCTGTAAGTGGGATAGAAAAACTCAAGGTTTTGGAAGCAAGGCACTTCCGATACAGTTTGAATTACATTAAAAACCACAAGATAAAAAAAAAAAAAACAAAAAAAGATGTCCATCAGTTTTCCTACTTATAACTTTCTCTCCTGGAAAACAGTTTAATTACCTAGCATGCAATATTTATTTGTGGGGAGTAACAGTGGATTAAAACTAATTTTTATAAAGCTTTAATGCCTAAAATAAACCTTTATGTTCTGGCCTTTTTCAATCCTCTGGTTCTACATATGATCAGCCTACAAATGCAGAAATGCTTAAAACTTTCATTTCCTCTTTCATGCCACACACTGTGTGATCTCTGATTCTTACAGCACATAATCACACATATTGGGACATTTTCCTCAACTGCTTTTTCTTTTTATGGCTAACTCTTGCTCATCCTTCATGTTTCAGTTTTAATTATACATTTTACAAAAAGTCTTTGCACCTTCCTCTGCCAGTCTCTCAGTGACATTAGTGTGCTCTCTGCATCACCAGAAAATACCTTAACTTACATTATTAGTTTGCTATCACTAAAGTACTATTTCTATATTAAAAGTGAATATTCAGAGCAACCTTTAGCATACCTTCTGAGAATCACCAATATATGTATTAATAAACTGTTCATAGATCCTAGGTGAACAGTAATTGCTTATGACCTCATAAAAGGAATTTTTGTTCAAGGAGGAGCTCTTTCATTGAATGTCTTTATTTTTGTTTTCCAATATCTCTTAAAATGCACAGAATATCAACAGAGATTAGATATTATGCACCTTTAACTCCTTGAAAATAGCCTTCTCCAAATATGTCTATGTAACGTGTGTTTACTCTGCTATCAGTTGCCTAGGAAAAACTTATTATATATGTTTACTGGCACAGTAGCAAATTATATATATATATATATATATATATATAATTTTTTTTTAAATGCCTGGAATTGGGGACTTATACGGCTCCTCAAACACCACTCTCCAACACTGCTGCCTGGGAGCATCTCTTACGTGCTCTCCATTACCATGGTCAGCACCAACATTCTGGATCCACTATTTTTCTATTTTTATTTTTCCTTTCGATTCTGGCTCCCATCCCTGTGGTTATATTTACTGTGGAGCATACATCTTTACTGCTGGCAGCTGCTGCATTACGTTGTTATGTTAATGCCTACAGAACTGCAGACAGTGCCAATGCAGAAATGTGCAGAAGCTGCTCCCCTGTGCCTCTGTTTCTTTATGGTGTGCGACCATCCACAGTAGTTTAATTATTCTCCAGCAGCGACCCCAGGATTCTAATGATTCACAGAGATTTTTAGTGCAACATATCTTTCAGGTTTTCATTCACTGTTATCTCTCCCAAAAATTCAAATTCATGTCTATAGGAGTTAGAATGAATAATTAAATGTATCCATTTGCATAGCCATTTGCTCATTCAGTTGACGTACTTTTATTAAGTTCCTGTTAGGTGCGAGGTGCACACCCAGGCAGTGAGAACACGATGAAGTTATCACTCTCTGCCAAATCAAGTGAACAGTCCAGTTTAGCAGAAGAGACAAATATTCAAAAAAAATAAACATAGCCCCAAATATTTACAGAAAACTTATTATCTGCCAGGCATTTAGAATGGAATAATAAATAAAATTGACTAAACCCCTGACTTCTTGATTTAGAAGCCCATGTCCTTTACAGAGGCAGTTAATATACTCAAATAGTAGTAGCACCATATTATATGTTGAATCACGGCTAGAGTGTAACTTAAATAGAACTTTCTCTCTAAAAATACAGCATTTCAACAGAGATCTAAATAATGATAGAAAAGGTATTCCAGGCAGAAGACCATCAGGCAATTAAAATAAAATATGCAAATCCATTATAATTATTACATTTTAAGTAGCTCCTCTGAAAGGTTTTTTTGATCAGTGTCATGATTTATTAAGGTATTATATTCTGCTTCCATGTTTGACATTTTTGTTAAAATTGTTATCCTACATTTTTGCCTCTTCCTTTCCCTGTTAAAGTTAAAACTACATTCTGGATTAACCTGGACAGCAGAAAGCAAGTAATTTTAATTTATCAATTTTCTCAATTTAAAATACCAAGTTAGTTACTAGTTACCAAATGTTGGTTCAAATGCTTTCAGTCTATTCTTTTCAAAAATCATTAATTCTTTGGTTGAAGTCGATAGGCATAGGCAAGCTAAACATTCACATTGATTAATCATCAACTATTTAAGCGATTCAATCAAGGAAGTAAAGGATAATCATTCTGGGCATTTGTAATAGTTAATTAGATTCTTTTAAGGCCAAGACATTCCAATTTAACTCTTCATGAATGGTTTACTTTGAAAAACTGATCATGATTGCATGTGATTATTACAGTAAAGAGATATGACACAAGAGGCAAATTGACACAAATGTGTTACGGTTTATATATATCATACTAATAAGATGAACTTCCTAGTTTACACAGAACCAAGTAAACTATTCTTGTTTTCTTTTCAATGCAATATACAGGACCCTTCAGTTTACAAATTAATAATGAATATTTTTTATTAATAAGTATTTTGAATATATATATATACACCTACTACATTTTATTTATCTTTGGAAGTTTAATATTATATATAAATTAATGCCAATGAAAAGGTTTTTTTTTAATTTAAGCGTTAGGTAATTGAGTTGTTCATTAAAATTAAGTAGTAAATATTTCTATGCATTTTGAGCTGCCTATGTTTTTAGTGAGCAAGTTGAACACTACTTTAGGCTATGGCTTGTGACATCCCCTTTTTTTTATATTTAATAATAATGTGGGTTTTGAGTGGGTTTCCAAAACCCACTCAAACACTGTATATCCTGAAGTTTGAAATGCTATTCCTTGGGCACTGAATTCTAGGCATATTTAGGGTCATTTTAGGCAGATGGCAAATGCATGAAGTTAGCTCCAACTCTGACTCAGGAATTTTGTTGAACAAAAATAAAATCAGTGAGTAAGTCCTCACAGAATTTCAAGTAACATAATCTCATATATAATTTCCAATGTTGGCATTATTTCAAAATCATAGATTGCATTTGTTATCTATTACTATGCTGCAAATCATCCCAAAATACAACAGCATAAAACAAAAACATTTATCCTTCCATTTCTGTCATCAGAAACCTGAAATCTCCTCTTGGTCCTGTGGCACAGGATTTCTCTCAATGCGGCAAAATCATGTTGATGAGTGAAGCTGAATTATCTCAAGATTGATCAGCTGTTGCAACAGAAAGGGATAACCCTTGTTACTTTCTTTCTCTTTGTCTTCTTTCTGCATAATGCCTAACATGGCGATATAGTGAAAGTGAGTGGCTTTTGCCCAGAGGACTAAAAGATGGAATGTTTGGAAACCGAAAAATTTCTGAAAAATCACAGAGAGGAAAGAGACTTTTGAAGCAGGTGAAAGGCTTTGAACTCCTGGGCACAACTTCATACTGTGTATGCATGCATCTGATTTGAGTTAGCAAATGTAAGACTTTGTAAATTGAAAAAAAAAGTGTAGATATCCATCAACATCTCAGATGGATCACCGTGTGTTGTTAGCACCAAACAAAACTAAATAGCTCTTTCGCATCTTTAAAAAATTAACCTTGGAACCATAGACTACAAAAGGTAGGTTATAAAGTGCAGCCCCAAATTGATTGCCTACTAAGGTAAAATATCAGTATTATATATCACGTTTAGTAAAATAACTAAAGTCTTCACCTCTGGGTGAAGGATACAATCCAAAATAGAAGAACGTAAAAGGAATCATGACAATTTCAACTTGAATTTGAAAAGAAAATCAGTGAATATCAGTATGATGAATTAAAAAATGGAAATAATTCATTAAAGAATATAAAGCAGCTTACAAAAATGCTCAAATATACAAATATGAACACTCGACATAAATAGAAAATATGAATTCTCTATAAATAAAATAATAAAAATCAAAAGCTGTAGTATTAAAAAGATATAAAAACTAAAATATATATCTAAAAACACTTACCAGATGGACTCAATAGCAGAAACAAGGGGAAGCTATGTCAGCAAGATGAGAGAATAAAAAGTCCCAGCCCAGGTTCCTTCACAGACAAAGTAAATTAACAAAAATGTACAGACCAAAAAAATCTTTATGGGAATTCTAGGAACCAGTTAAGAATTTGCAGTATGCCAGGCAAATACAAAGCTCAGAATAGCTGCATTGAAATAGGTGAGAAGAGTTGTTTAATTTTATCTACAATATTACCCCTTCCACAAGCCCACACAGCTCAGCTCAGTTTGTACCTTCTGGACTAGTGGGTGGAGAATAGTGAAATATGCATTCAATGTTGTAGCTTTTATACAGGGCTACCCTGAGGAACAGGGTTCTGTTTGCCTGACTCAAAGCACTAATGGAACCAACATAGTTTGAATGTCTCCAGGCTGCTGAAAGCAAAGGTGGGCAAGGGTGGCTTGTTGCAGCATCAGACGGTCTACAGATACAGTGCTACGGATCAGAAGGTCTACAGATACATGTCTACATATACAGTGTTACAGATACGGTATAGCTCAGCACAACCTAAGGGAGTCGTGGCCTCTCTCACAGAATGGAGGGAGGAAAATGAAGCATGCATCTAGAATTTTGGGTTTTCTGATAGCTTCTCAAGGAACTGAAATGTGTGTTGCCTGATTTAGGAAAATGATGGAGAACTTGCATAATTTATAAGCCTCAGAGTCACTGAGAAGAAAGGAGAGAGGTATGCCTTACACTGTAGCACCAGAGAGCCTGACGTACCACCGACAGGCACCAGAGGGTGAAAAAAATTTGTGAGTTCCTGAAAAGGAAACCAGCAAACCTCTCTAACTGAGAAATTACACATTAAATCCCAGAGAATTTGTATCCCCCCAAAAGGTTGTACTGCCTCCCCAAATATTATTCAAGCTGATTACTGAAGGTCTTCCCTGCATAAAGCCCTTAGTCTATAAAGACTGGCAGAGGTGGCAGTTGTTTTCAAACACATAAAACTCAGCAAATAAATAAGTAAAGATTCAGAAGACACACAGGAGAAAAGAGAAACACAGCCCAATCAAAGAAATAAAATAAATCTCCAACAATGAACCCCAACAAAACAGAGAACAACTGATTGTGTTACATAGAATTCAAAATAATAATCTTAAAGAAGGTCCATGATCTACAAAAGAACAGATAGAAAATTAAATAAAATGAGGAAAATAATACATAAATAAAAAGAGCATAGAAAAGAAAAAAGAGATAAAAGAAAGAAAATATATAAAAAAGGAATTTATCTAGCTAAATAATAGAAGTTGACTACATGGCTACAGATGTAGACTTGAGTAAACAGAAGAAATAGTTTTCTAGTTTCAGTAAACTAGAAAACAGGTCATTAGACATTACCAAATCAGAAGAGAAAAAATAAAGTGAAGCATGCCTAAAACATATACGACACCACCAAGCTGACCAATATATGCATTATAGGACATCCAGTAGAAGAAAAGAGAAAGGGGAAGAGAGCTTATTTGAAGAAATAATGACCAAAAACTCCCCCTAACTGAGGAAGAAAATGAACATCCAAATTCAGGAAACTCAAATTACTCCAATTAGGATGAACATAAAAAGGACCACATTGAGACATGTTATAATCAACCTATTGAAATAAAAGACAAAGGATCTTGAAAGCAGCAAAGAAAAACAACTTGTCATGTACAAGGGAACTTATATTATCAGTGGACTTTTAGAAGAAACCTTACATGTCAAAAGAGAATGGAATGATTTATTTAAAATAATGAAAATATACATTGCCAATTATCCTGTCAGTCAAAACAAAAGAATGCTATATAGCAAACAAAACATACAACAATATAAAGTTTGCTGGTAAAGGTAAATGTATAGATACGTAGGCAATATTGAAATGGTGATGTATAAAGCACTTTTAATTCTAGAACAGAATGTAAAAGAAAATAGTATACCAATAACTATAACTATAAAATGATGTTAATGGATACATAATACACCAAGATGTAATTTGTGACATCAATAACACAAAGTGAGGGTGGGGAGATGTAAAAAAGTAGAGTTACTGTCTACAATAAAAGCTAATGTGTTATTAACTGAAAATAGATCATCATAACTATGAATGTTTGATATAAGCAACCTGTTAATCATAAAGAAAATACCGATGTGAGATACACAAAATAAAGTGAGAAAAAAAATAACTAAGAGAGATGGAGGCCGGGCTCAGTGGCTCACTCCTGTAATTCCCACTTTGGGAGGCCGAGGCAGGGTGATCATGAGGTCAAGAGATCGAGACCATCCTGGCCAACATGGTGAAACCCCATTTCTACTATTAATACAAAAAATTAGCCGGGTGTGGTGGTGCACACCTATAATCTCAGCTACTCAGGAAGCTGAGGCAGGAGAATCTCTTGAACCCAGGAGGCAGAGGTTGCAGTGAGCTGAGATCGTGCCATTGTACTCCAGCTTGGGCAACAAGAGTGAAACTCCATCTCAAAATAATAATAATAATAATAAAGTAACTTATTACTAAGTATTATTTAATTCTACAACATTTTATTTTTAAAATAATTTAAGAATTTTGCTAAAGTAACTACTTTAATTTTAAATATCTTAAGCTTCCTAATCAAGAGACATAAAGTGGCTGTATAGATTTAAAGATATATAGAACCAAATGCTTTTTACAAAAGACTTGCCTTAGTTGCCAAGGCACACAGAAACCTAAAGTAAAAGAATGAGAAATATTTTCCACAAGAGAGCAGCAGTGGATATAGGTACAGATAAAATAGACTTTAAGACAAAAACTGTCACAAGAGGCAATGAAGAATATTATGTAATGATAAAAAGGTCAATTTACAGGAAGATACAATAATTTTAAGACAAAAACTGTCACAAGATGCAATGAAGAATATTATATAATGATAAAAAGGTCAATTTACAGGAAGATACAATAATTTTAAGTATATATGCATTTAATATGAGAGCACCAAATATATGAAATGAACATAGAATTAAAGGGGAAAATAAACAGTAACACAATAATAGTAGAAAAGCTCAATGCTTTACTTCCAAAAAAAAGACAAAATAATGAGACAGAGGATCAGTAAGAAATAGAGGACTTCAGGCCAGGCACCGTGGCTCATGCCTGTAATCCCAGCCCGTTGGGAGGCCAAGGCAGGTGGATCACCTGAGGTCAGGAGTTCAAGACCAGCCTGGCCAACACGGTGAAACTCTGTCTCTACTAATAATACAAAAATTAGCAGGGCATGGTGGTGGGCGCCTGTAATCCCAGCTACTCGGGAGGCTGAGGCAGGCGAATCGCTTGAACCCAGGAGGCGGAGGTTGCATTGAGCCAAGATTGCACCACTGCACTCCAGCCTGGGCGACAGAGCGAGACTCCATCTTAAAAGAAATAGAGGACTTGAATAACACTACAGAACATTTGAAAGTAATACACACACACAGAATAATCTATGCAATAGCATCAGAATACACATTATTCTTAAGCACACAAAGAACATTCGCCAGAACAGATCACATTTTAGGCCACTAAAACTGGTATGACAAATTTAAGAAAACTAAAATAATACAAATATCTTTTTCAATCACAAGAGAAAAAAACTAGAAGTCAATAGCAGTAGGAAAATTAGAAAATTTATGTGAATATTATGTAACCCACTTTTGAAAAACAAATGAATAATGGAAGAAATCAAATGAAATTAGAAAATATCTTGAAACAAATGAAAATGGAATCACAGCACATCAAAACTCATGCAATGACGCAAAATCAGAACTATAAGGGAAATACACAATACTAGTCACCTTCATTTAAAAAAGAAGAAATATCTCATATCATAGAAAAGATCAACAGGGCCCAGTCCAGTGGCTCACGTCTATAATCCCAGCACTTTGAGAGGCTGAGCAGGGTGGATCATTTGAGGTTAGGAGTTCGAGACTATCCTAGCGAACACAGTGAACCCTATCTCTAATAAAAATACACACAAGCACACAAAAATAGCCTGGTGCGGTGTCCTGTATACCCAGCTACTCTGGAGGCTGTAGGCAGGAGAATCACTTGAACCCGGGAGACAGATGTTGCAGTGAGATGAGATTGTGCCACTGCACTCCAGCCCGGATGACAGAGTGAGAGTCCACCTCAAAAAAAAAAAAAAAAAAAAATCAAAATTTTTAGTGAAAAGATCAAAATGGATGATCTTAAGCAAGATTACCTACAGAAATAAGCGGGAGAAGCTCAAATAAACAAAATCAGAAATGAAAGAAGAGGCTGTAGCCACAGATGTAAACATGACTATAAGAGAATACTGCAAACAATTATACGTCAACAAAATGAATAACTTAGAATACATGGATAAATTCTTAAAAGCATACAAGGTACCAAAACTGAATCAAGAATGAAAATACAAAGACTGAAGAAACAGAAAATCTGAACAGACTTACAAGACATAAGGGAATTAAATCAGCAAAGAAAAACTTTCCAATGCATTAAAAAAATGTCATCAGGACAAGATGACTTCACAGATAAATTTTACCAGACATTTAAAGAAGAGTTAATGACAATCCTTTAAGAATTATTTCAAAAAATTGAAGGAAAGAGAATACTTCCAAACTCATATTATGAAGCCAACATTATTCTCTGGTACCAAAGCCAGACAAAGACACTACAAGGAAAGAAAATTAAAGGCCAACATTACCCAATAAACAAATACACGTGATTTCTCGACAAAAGTCTAGCAAATAGAAGTCAGTAGCATATTGAAAGGATCATATGTTATGACCAAGACAAATTTATCATTGGGATGCAGGGATGGTTCAACATATGAAAATCAATGAATATAATACACCACAATAAGAGAATAAGGGATAAAAATCACATGATTTTGTCCCCTCCAAACCTCATGTTAAAATGTGATCCCCAGTGTTGCAGGTGGGGCCTACTGGGTGGTGTTGGGGTCATGGGGGCTGATCCCTCATGAATGGCTGGTGCCCTTTCTGCAGTAATGAGTGAATTCTTGCAGTTTTCACTCTACTAGTTTATATGAGAACTGTTTTTTTAAAAAAAGAGCATGGCATCCCTACCCTTTTCTTGCCCCTCCTCTGGCCATGTGACATGCCAGCTCCCCTTACCTTTTGCCATATGTAAAAGC
Source organism: Homo sapiens (assembly GCF_000001405.40). Taxonomy (NCBI): domain Eukaryota; kingdom Metazoa; phylum Chordata; class Mammalia; order Primates; family Hominidae; genus Homo; species Homo sapiens. The sequence goes on from NC_000013.11 coordinate 86,719,104, forward strand.
TTCCTGAGGCCCTCACCAGAAGCCAAGCAGATGCCAGTGCAATGCTTCTTGTACGGCCTACATAACCGTGAGCCAAATAAACCTGTTTTCTTTATAAATTACTCAGTCTCACGTATTCCTTTATAGCAACACAAAACAAACTAATATGCATGATAATTGCAGACAAAATAAACATCCCTTAATGATTTAAAAAATACACTACAATTTAGCACTAGAAGGAAACTTTCTCAACATAATAAAGGTCATATATATTAGAACCCACAGATAGCACTGTATTAATGGGGAAAAACAAAAGCTTTCCCTCTAAGATCAGGAGGAAGGCAAGGTTGCTAATATTCACTGCTTCTATTTAATACAGTACTGGAAGTCCTAATCAGAGCATAGGCAAGAAAAAGAAATAAAGGAATCCAACTGGAAAGAAAGAACTAAAATTTTCTATGTTTATAGATTATTTGATCTTATATGTAGAAAGCCCCAAAAACTCCACAAAAGAACGGTTAAATCTAATAAACAAATTTGCCAAAGTTGCAAGATGAAAAGTCACACTCAAGGTAGGAATTGGTGGCTCATGCCTGTAATCCTAGCACTTTGGTAAGCCAAGGGAGACAGATCACTTGAGGTCAGGAGTTCAAGACCAGCCTGCCCAACATGGTGAAACCTCGTCTCTCTGAAAATACAAAAAAAAATTAGCCAAGTGCGGTGGTGCACACCTGTAATCCCAGCTACTCAGGAGGCAGAGGGAGATTGTTTGAACCCTGGAGGCAGAGGTTGCAGTGAGCCAAAATTGGGCCACTGTACTCCAGCCTGGGTGACAGAGTGAGACTCTGTCTGAAAAAAAAAAAATCATATTCAAAAGTCAGTCATATTTCTATACTAACAATGAACAATACAAAAAGCTATGTAATTAAGCAATTCCATTTACATTAGCCTCAAAATGAATGAAATACTTAAGAATAAATGTAAGGGGTGAAAGACTTGTACACTGAAAACTATAAGACATTTGTTGAAGAAATGAAAAAAGATACAAATAAATAAAAAGGTATCACATTTCCATGATTTGAAAGACTCAGTATTGTTAAACTGTCCATACTACTCCAAATAATCTATATTCAATCCAATCCCAATCAAAATTCTAGTTGCATTTTTGGAAAATACAGGAAATATGGGATCTCAAAGGACCTCAAATACCCAACACCATCTTGAGAAAGACAAAGGTCTAGAAGCCTCACACCTCACACTCTGATTTTACAGTATATTACAAAGCTATATATTACAAATCAAAACTGTATGGCATTGGCATAAAGACAGACACAAAGACAAATGGAATATAAATAAATCTAGAAATAGAAATAGGAAGTCCGGAAATAAGCCTTCACATGCCTGGCCATATGATCTCCGACAAGACTGTCAAGACTATGCAATGATGAAATGATGCTTCAACAAATGGTGTTTGGACAGTTAGAATGGCTATTTGTAAAAAGTCAAAAAACAACAGATGCTGGCAAGACTGCAGAGAAAAGGAAATGCTTATACACTGTTGGTGGGATGTAAATTAGTTCATCAGTTGTGGAAAACAGTTCGATTTCTCAAATACCTTAACATAGAGCTACCATTCAATCCAGTAATCCCTTACTGTGTATATACCCAAAGAAAAATAAATTATTCTACCAAAAAGACACATGCACATGCATGTTTATTGCAGTGCTATTCACTATAGCAAAGACATTGGAATCAAGGTGGGTTCCCATCCACAGTGGATTGGATAAAGAAAATGTGGTACCTATACACCATGGAATACTACACAGCCATAAAAAAGAACAAAAAATCATGTCCTTTGTGCACCACGGAAGCAGCTGGAGGCCATTATTTTAAGTGAATTAACAGAGGAACAGAAAACCAAATCCCACCTATTCTCACTTAAAATAGGGAACTAAGCATTGGACACACATGAACCTTGGAGTCTCCTAGAGGGTGTAGGGAAGGAGTGGGTCAAGGGCTGAAAAACTACCCATTGGGTACTATGCTCACTATTTGGGTGATGGGATCATTTGAACCCCAAACCTCAGCATTATGCAATATATTTGTGTAACAAACCTGCACATGTGCTTCCTGAATCTAAAATAAAAGTTGAAATTTAACATAAATAAATTAGTTAAAAATTGCAAAGAAGAAAATCAATAAGTATCTAGTCTTATAATCCATTTGTTAAATATTTTAATTTACCTTTTTTCTTTCATAGAGTGATTGTGGCAAGGTTCTGAAGTCTGGTCTGTTTTAGGGTAATTTTGAACAGAATCCCAGGGCTTAATTTTGAGAATGCTACCCAGGAAAAGAAATAGGAAACGTATCTTTCTCATTACAGCTGCAGAAAAATGAATACATTCCCATTATAAAGTGTGGTAGATAAACTGGTAAGTTGCAAACGTTCATAAAAATATGTTTTTCTTTTTTTTCAGATTGGAGAATTTATGACAGTGGAAAATCTGTTCTGTATTTTGTCATCTGAATGTCAGAGTTTAATGCTAAATTTTATGTCATGAGATTTGGTAACTCCTAGAAGTGTTCAGACATAATTGTTTACTAAATGATTTGTTACACTGGAAATAAGAATTGAATTACATGTCTTAAGTAAATAGATACTTTTTTTTTTCCTGTTGAGGTAAGAAATGGAAGTGTTCTACAATTTCCTTCCCTCTTAGTAAACATAAAAACTGAATTTGAGTGGTTTTACTTGATTCTTCAGACCCTGGATATTTTCTCATTTAAAACTAAGTGGGTAACCTTGACCAGTTATCAGAGACATCAGCCCAATGACTCCCAGCTGAAGCCAATCTTGAGCTTGCAAAAGATCACTGAAGGCCCAGTTAATTCTTTCTGGGGATGTTTTCTGCAGGTTTGCTAGCTGGCTCACACCAGCCATGGCAGAGCCTTTGTACTGAGAGAAGCTATGGAGCCCTGGAAAGTTAGGGACCAACAGGCAGATATGGTTGGGGTTAGTGTAATTGTGAAGGTGTGATGCTAGTATTGAGAGTGTAATTGTTATCGTCCTGGGGTTGTTTGTAAACATTGTCAAATAAAATGAATTTGATTTTAGATAAGAATTGACTTTATCTAAAGGGGTATTGCAATAGATGGGAAGCACCAAGCAAAATATCTGCAAGTATTTGAAAGGTTAAGAAGATAAGGGGTTCCTTTTACAGGGAGGAGCAAAAAAGATTTGAAAAAAGATGAAAGCTGGAGGGCAGTATGGAGTGTGGCAAAATTAGATCCCAGATCAGAGGATATTTCACCCTGAAGTTAGCCTATTCTTAGGAGGAGGCATAAAGATAAGTTGTATGTAAGCTCAGACTGAGGGTGAATCAAAGTTCAAGGCCTGTGGGAAGGAGAGAATCTTAAGCAAAATTTGTTTAACAAGTATTTTGTTCTGACCACTGAAGATAAAATTGTTCATTTGATTGTGGAAGAAAAAGGGGAATTTGCAGAGTCTGTGTCTGGCTTTGTGATAGTTACAAAGTGAGCATCATATAAGTCATATAAGTCATAATGGTAAGCATGTCTCTTTGCAGTAAGCTGCTCTTGGAGAGCACAACTGAAGGGGGATTTTCTCAATCATGGCTATTTAGCAGGGTTACCTACTCGCTCCATCTTTCCTTGCCATTTACATCTCTTCCTCTTGGCTGTTCCTGAATTGTATCCTTTATACTAAACTGGTGAAAGTAAAGTTAAACATAAAACAACAACAAGTGGTGTTTGGGAAACTGAATATCCACATGCCAAATATGGAGATGGGTCTTATTTTACAACATATATATACATTAACTCACAGATTTATGCATAAGGCCTAAAACCATAAAACTCCTAGAAGAAAACATAAGAGAAAAGCTTCAGGGCATTAGAAGGTCCAATGAAACCAAAAGCACAGGTGAAAAAGACTAAAATAAATTATACTACATTAAACTTAAAATATTTTGTGCAGCAAAGGAAACAATAAAGTGAAAAGGCAACCAACATAATCTGAGAAAATATTTGCAAAGCATATATTAGATAAAGGGTTAATATCCACAATATATAAAGGACTTCTACAACCTAATAATAATAAAAAAAAACTCAATTAAGAAATGGGCAAAATACTTGAGATTTTTCTCCAAAGAAGCTATACAAATGGCCAAAGATGTATGAAAATATGTTCAAAATCATATTCAAATAATTGCAAATTTAGTCCACAGTGAGATATCAGCTTACATCTGTTAGGATAGCTGCTGTCAAATGACAACAATGACAAACAGAAAATAATAAGTCATGAGAATCTGGAGAAACTGGGACTCTTGCACACTGTTGGTGAGATTGCTAAACAATATAGCCACTATGAATAACAGCATGAATGTTCCTCAAAAAATAAAAATAGAATTACCATATGCCTCAGCAGTTCTACCACTTTTTTCTTTTTTATAAGATGGAGTCTCGCTCTGTCACCCAGGCTGGAGTGCAGTGGCTCACTGCAACCTCCGCCTCCAGGGTTTAAGCAATTCTCCTATCTCAGCCTCCCGAGTAGCTGGGACTACAGGCACACACCACCACGCCCAGCTAATTTTTGTATTTTTAGTAGAGAGGATGTTTCACCATACTGGTCAGGCTGGTCTCGAACTCCTGACCTCAGGTGATCCACCTGCCTCGGCCTCCCAAAGTGCTGGGATTACAGGCATGAGCCACTGAGCCCGGCCCAGTAGTTCCATTTCTGATTATATATCCAATAAATTAAAAATAGGGTCTCAAAGAGATATTTGCACATCAATGTTTATTGCAGCATTATTCACAATAGTCAAGAGGTGGATCCAAAATAAATGTCCATCTATGAATGAATGCATAAAGCAAATGTGGTGCATACATACAATGGAATATAATTAGCCTCACAAAAGAAAGATATCTTGGCATATGCTACAACATGGAAGAACCTTGAGATCACAAAAAAACTAATAATGAATGATTCCATTTATATGATGTATGTAAGGTAATCAAACCAGAAAAACAGAAAATAGAATAGAGGTTGCTAGGAGATGGGGTTGGAGGAAACAGGGATTTGTTCAATGGGTACATATTTTCGGTACTGCAAGATAAAAAAGTTCTTGAGATCTGCTATACAACAATTTACATATAATTAACAATGATGTAATATACACTTTAAATTGTTAACAGGTTAAATTTATGTTATTTATATAATTTTAACATAAACAATTTAGAAAAATAACAGATAGGAAATGGAGAACACAATAATCAGTAAACCTGAAAATAGATTAACAGGAATTACTCATCCAAACAACACAGAGAAAAGAGATCAAAAGAAAAGAAATGAATATGGTCAAATGGAGTTGTATAACAATAACATATGGTCTAACACTTGTGTCTTGGGGTCCCAGATGAGGTAGAAAAACGTGTATTGTTGAAATATGTTTCAACTAGTAATATTCAAAAACCCCTCAAGTTTGGCAAAAGACATAAAATTACAGATTCAGGAATCGTGGTAAATTTCAAAAAAAGTACAACCCCCCCAAAAAATACCCAGACACATTATAATCAAATAAACACAAAGCAAAAATCCTGAGGAAGAAAAACAATGGAGGAAAAATAATCCTTTGCTTATAGGAGAGCAATAATTTGGGTTACTGAAATTCTCGTCAGAAATCATGGAGAATAAAAGGAAGTGCCACAATATTTTTAAAGTTGCTAAAATGAACTCTGGTATTTATATATACAGAAAACATCCGTAAGGAACTAAGATGAAACAAAGACATTCTCAGACGAAAAAAAAAAAAAACCTCTTTGAAGTAAACGAACTTGTGCTAAAAGAATTGCTAGAGAAAGTTTTTTAGCCAGAAGGAAAATGATACCAGAATCTTAGAATTTAATAAGTGAATAAATAGCAAGAGAAATGTTTTGATCTTTCATATTATTTCCCCCCAAAAAAGCTTTCTCCTAAATTCCTATGTTACCACTATTCAAAATTATAGGACATAAAATTCATATTCATGTTCCTGTGGTTGTACAAGCTGGCAAGAGAAACAAAAGTAAGAGTAAGTCGAATGGTGGATAGAAATTTCAAGAGCTAAGAGAAACAATTGTAACTATAAAAAGAGGTAAAGGAATGTAGAAGGCAACACAGAAATGATGCTTGATTGTGCAAATGTGGTGGTCCTGCCCACCCTTGTGGTGGCTACTGGGTATCTCACTCTGTCCGTCACCCCTTCTAAATGGTATGACATGAAACTGAGAGCCAGTGAAGACACCATGGCCACCCTCTCTCCTGACTTTGCCATGGACTCCCTGGGCCTTTGGTCTGTTTTTCCTGAGACTTGATTACTTTCAGTCACAAAGATGGTGGCATAATGAACGAATTTGCCAAGTTCTGGGAGAAGCTCACCAGTTTAGGTTGTTGGTTCATCATTATCAAATTCCCCATGAGAACATGCTAACCTTGTTTAAGAATTATTTCAGCATTAAGTTCCACAAGGCATAATTTTCCACAGGCAGTCTACCTAGAAATGGATGTGAATCAGTGCCATGGAGCAACTTCCACCAACTAAATACTAGCACCCATATATCTGTGATTATTTTTCCAAAAGAAAATGAGAGTCAAACAGTATCAAAGAGCAGATGCTATGGAATTACAATAGAAAATTAACTAGCAATTAGAAAATACCAATGAAAGCAGTGAGAAAACTAATTTTCAGTGAGAAAAGAATATATAAACATAATATATTTTCCCCAAAAAAGCTGGCTGTGAGATTCTAAATCAAAGTAATGGGAGGATATTTGTCAACAGTTACAAAGAGGAATGATCTTGAAATCTGTGATGAACAGCTGCTTATTATTATGACATTAAAACAACCAGAAAACTTTAGTTCCTGAGAAGTCACAGTAATAGTCAAGGTCACAAATTTGTAAACACTTCTATTAACACAGATCTCGTTTTTGTTTTTGTTTTTGTTTTCTCATTTGGTGTTTAGTTTGTTTAACTTTGTATCTGACGGTACTGGTGGTTCATATGCAGATATATCACTCCACCTTTTACCTAGTTTATTACAATGGAAACGTCTTGCGGAATTATAGTGCAATATCACAACCAGGATACCAACATTAATACAGTCAAGTTATAGGACATTTACATCACTACAAAGATCCCGCTTGTTGCCCTTTTGTAGACACAAACAATCTCCATATGCTCCCATTTTCAAGCCCCTGGAAACCATTAATCTGTTTTTCATTTGCGTAAGTTTTTCATTCTAAAGATCTAATATAAGCAATATGTAATATTTTTTAGAATTAGGTTTCTTATCTCCGAATAATCCCCTGAAAATTCTTCCAAGTTGATGTGTATGTCAATACTTCATTACTCTTTACTGCTGAGTATTATTCCATATTAAGGATGTATCATAGCTTGTTTCACCAATCCATCCATTGAATAAAAGATGGTTGTTTCTAGTTTAGGTGTATTATAAATAAAACTGATAGGTACATTCATGTACAGCTTTTTGGTTTGTATTGCTTTTGTTTTTGCATAAACATAATTTTTATTTTTGTGGAATAAATACTTAGGAGTACAATAGTTTGGTCATGTGAAACGTGCATGCTTAGTTTTGTAAGAAACTGCCAAATTGTTTTCTAGAGTGGCTGTGTCATTTTACATTCCCACCAGCTATTTATGAGTGATTCAGCTTCTCCACATCCTCATAAACATTTGGCATTTTTTTTTAAATTTTAAGCCATTCAGATAAGTGATTAGTGATATCTCTTTGTGGTTTTAATTTGCATCTGCCTAATGATTAATGATAGACATTTGATGCATTACTTGACAGCCATATATCCTTCTGATTGAAGAGACTGAAGGTTAATATGTCTCTTCAAGTCCTTTGCCCATTTTAAATGGACTTACTAGCCTTTTTTATTATTTAGTTGTAAGTATTCTCTATATCTTCTGGATACAATTTTTTATCAAATCTATAATTTGCGAATATTTTCTCCCATTCTGTGAATTGTCTTTTCACTTTCATGATGGTGTTCTTTGAAGTACAACGGTTTTAAATTTTTGAAACCACTCTAATTTATCTATTGTTTTTCTTCCACATTTGTTCTTTTGGTGTTATATCTAAGAAAACATTACCTAACCTAAGTTCATGAAGATTTACTCTTGTATTTTATTTTAAGAGTTGCATAGTTGAGCTCTAACATTTATAATTTCTTTTGAGTTAATTTTATATATAATTAGAAGTAGGGGTTCATCTTCATTCATTCTTTTACATGTGTATGTGCAGTTGTTCTAGCACCATTTGCTGAAAAGACTATTCTTTCCCCATTCAATTGTTTTGGTGCCTTTGTAAAAAACAAGACCATAAATGCAAAGGTTCTATTTTGTTGATTTATCAGTTTATCTTTATGCCAGTACCACACTTTTTTTGTTACTGTGGCATCGTAGTAAGTTTTCAAATAGGGAATTATGTGTCCTATAACTGTTCTTTTTCAAGATTTTGTTGGCAATGCATATTGTTTTAAAATATTCTAAAATAAATTAAAAAGTAAAGTAATCAAAACCAAAATTTAAAATAAAATGAAAACAGTTTTTAAAGCATAAGTCAGCTTGGCCACATATATAAGTAACTAACATGTATTCTTACAGTATATTCTTCATCTTGAATTCTAAGAATAATATTCTGTGAAAAAATAAGAAAATTTCTTCATTTTTCTCTTTTAGTAATCAATATTGCTATGTTAACTTTTATAAATGTTTAGGGTAGGAAATAGAAAGTATATAAATGAAATTAGGAATAAAAATATTCAGAATAAAACTATAACATAAAGGTTTACATTTGAAAAAAAATCTGTATTGGACTTGGAAAATTAAATTTTTATAATCAACTTAAAAATATATTTTCTAATCTTAGGAATAAAAATATTCAGAGTAAAACTATAACATAAGGGTTTACATTTGAAAAAATCTGTATTGGACTTGGAAAATTAAATTTTTATAATCAACTTTAAAAATATATTTTCTAATCTTTACCACAGAGAGAACCTAGAAAATATGACACTCGGAAGCAATAAACTACATTCCACCCAGGTATTAATGTGAATAAAGAAACAGACTTTGGAGATTTGGTAAATACTCTATGATTGCACGGGATTTTATTGTGCCAAAGAGCAAGGACATCTACAATAAACAATAGGGTTTTCCATCGTACACCAGATACAGCTTTAAGCATGCCACAATACTTCATTTTAGAAAATATAAACATAAAACTAAATATTCATTGTCCATTGGATTAAGAGAGAAAAAATATTTCCATTATTGGAAACACCATGACAAAAACTACTTTCTATGAAAAAAACAAGCAGTAGATGAAATAAAGATTTAATACAACTTTCTAAAAAAACCTGTTGTTCACATTTAGTGAATTCTTAATACAAATTTGTCAAGTAATTCACTTTTTAAAATATGGAGAGTACTAAGAAAATCATCATCTTGCTACTAGTGTTGAAATGATAGATTCAGCAGAATCATCAATATAGGCTACAATCCTTGGTTGAAAGAGAATGCTTTACTATTATAAATATTACTAATTGAAAAAGGGAATTATTTTTATGAGCAAGAGAGCTGACCATCATTACTTTAACAAAGTAATTAAAATTAGTATCACTGAAATTTAGACTTCCTAATAGTGTGTGCTGCCTAATGAGATGCAATATTGAGTACCCAGAATCACTGTAAAGAATTCTTGCCCAAATTTTTAAACCTGAGTTGAATTAAAGTTAAGAAGTTATCATCCACTTTGGATACAGAATTAAATAATATCACAGGGAAATAGGAAAATCCATAATATTTGATGCCTAAAAGGAAACTTGCCTGTTTGCTTTAAAAATATAAAGTCACTGAAAAGAAAAACAAATGTGTTAATATTATATTTTAAAAGAAATAAAGAGACATAACAACAATAGCCAATGAACTATTCCGGATTCTAAATCCTAGTTTGAAAAAAAAAACTGCCATGTGTAAAAGCCAAATGCATGCATTTGATTATAATAAATGATATTAGAAAATTGTTCTTTTCCTTTGGTATGAAAATGATAAAGTGGTTATTGATGTAAGGCAGCATTCCACAAACTGTGGCCTGGAGCAAGGGAAAGCATGCTCACTACCAGTTACAAAATTTCAGGTCTCTTAAAGTAATTTCTCCTGTGATGCAACCCACTCATGTGCACGTGTCATCTGGGCACCTCTCTGTTGCTCCCATGAGATCTGTGGACAAGGGGAAGTAACTTGTATGTGCTGATGTCCATGCTGCTTTCTGTGCCGTGAGCAATACTTCTGTAACTCAGAAGTATTGTGTCTTCTGTTAGGTTCCACAAAGCTGCAGCAAGCTAAGAGGTTAACTTGTAGTCTGGTAAAATCTCAGAACCTTCACAAACTTGACAATCTAATGATCATATGTTATTTAAAAATTACTGTATGTTTGCAGTTTCTAATAGAAAGCTTCAAAACATTTCTGTAATTTTTTCTCTTGCTACTCCGAAAAATAAAAAGTTGGGGAAATCACATGACTAATTTTGCATTCCATTCAATCACATTTGATTATGCTGATTATATGGAAAATAAAAAGACTCTCACAGGCAATAATAAGAATGCAACTAGGAAAGAAGGAGCGAGGGCAGTAACTGTAATCTATAGACATATAGAGGGGAAAAGGCAGAATAAATGACCAGCAACGATTTTTGAGTTTAAGTACATAAAATATTTATTTTTGTTGCCTTTTAATATTTTTCTGTAAAATTAAGGTGTTTGTATGTTTATTTCAAATAGAGAAAGAGAAGAAATAGATTAATAATGTTTATTTTCCTGACCATTCACTCTTACTAGAATTTTAAAGACAATGGTACTCAGTAACAATGAAAGTTACCAATTTTTATTGTTTCTGACTTTAATTTGAATAAATGTAATATGTCAGCTTTTTAGGATAGATGTTAGCTATGAAACTCAGAGACAGTATTTTTTACATGTAAAGAAGTTTCAATTCTTCCTTCTCTTATTAGTTTCATTAATGAATGAATCACAGATTTTACTTAAATGATTGTTAGTTTTTAAAATGCAAGGTTTTTCCTTGTGCTTCTCCAATAAAAAAAATTATGTAAGATATTTAATATTGGATTATTTTTAGTGAAAAAAATACAATTTTATTATTGTGGTATAGTAATCTTTAAATATATTGCTAAATTTGTCTCCTAATGTCTAACTTAGAATTTTTGCATCTTATTAAAATGATGCATTTTCAATTTTTTTTTTCACTCTGTCACCTAGGCTGGAGTGCAGTGGCATGATTTCGGTTCACTGCAACCTCCACCTCCCAGTCTCAAGTGATTCTCCTGCCTCAGTTTCCTGAGTAGTTGAGATTACCGGCACGTGCCACCACACTCTAATTTTTGTATTTTTAGTAGAGTTGGGGTTTCACCATGATAGCCAGGCTGGTCTCGAACACCTGACCTCAGGTGATTTGCCTGCCTTGTCCTCCCACAGTGCTGGGATTACAGGTGTGAGCCCCCATGCCCAGTCTCAACTTTATAATGTTTTTACTAGTTTTAATTTCAAGATTGAATTAGGTTTTAAAAATACGTTGGTGACAGGAGGGGCTTTGAGATGGCAGATAAGACATTTTGTACTCACTCCCTCCACTAAGAAGAAACAAAATAGTGAGTAGATAATCACACTTCAAATAGATCATCCAAGAAAGAACACTGGAATTCAAGAGAAAAGTATCAGGAAATACTTAAAGCAAGGATGGAGAATGAAGCAGGGCAGCCTGCTTGGCCAGGGTTGGCTCGAAGCCGAGATAGACTCCTTAATATGGTAAAAGTATAAGTGACATTATACTTAGTGTTCCACATTCTTTCCACGGACTCCTGTAATCCTAGCCATGGAAGAACCCCTTGACCCTCCTGGGCTCTGAAACTAACATAGGAAACTGCCAGGAGATGGTTTGATGGCACTACTCCAGGAAGGAAGGTCTCTGTGGGTCCCACAGGCTCCCTGGACTTAGGCAGGTACAGCAAATTTCCACTTTAGAGCCCTTATAACCAGAAGATTGCTCACTGTTCTGGAGCTCAGGGGTGCTGTGGCTGAGGTGCAAGAGAAATGTGGACTGTTGCCACTTGGGCTGAGGTGAGAGTGGCTACAGGCTACCACAATGAGGGCTGAGGCATGACCAAAGCACAGGCTCCTGTACCAGGGGCTGAGGCATGACCAAGGCATGGTCTATCACCATGTGGGGTGGGGAAAGAGCACCAGGTGGGGCAAGAGCACCACTGGGAAGAATGTGCGAGTGGTGCATGCATTCCCCAACTGTCAGCCTAGACTGCCACCACAAAAGGTGGCACCACCCTCACCAGTGGCAAGGTAGTGGCATGACTGCTGCCACTTCACATCTGAGCATTCTACAGTAGCCTGAGGTCTTTGCCTACCATGGCTGATGATGGTAGAGACTATTTAGGGGCCTGGGGACAAGCCTGCCCAGCCCAACTTTGTCTGTCCCAGCACTGCTCCATAGAACACAATCCAGGGGACAGAGGATTACCCAGCCAAGTATAAAATTAGTGTCACCTGAATACTCCTCTGCAGGAGCTGAGTTTGGGACTAGCCAGCAGGCTGCTACCATTTAGCTGACACTTGCCTGCATATGACACCTGCAGGCCTGAAGATTGGCCTTAACTGCCCATTGCAGCCATAACCAAAGCCAGTATGCATTGCTCAGGTCCCAAAGGGTGGTCCTAGCACTGCCATTTCCATTGTCTGTCCCATGCTGTCTGACAATAAGCCCAAGAACCTGCCCACACACCTAGCCCACTGCTGCCACTACTACCATTTGACAAAGCCACCTGGAAACTCAATAATTCACCTTATTGTATCTGCTAACATCAGTGCCCACAAATGCTGTCCTTTGGCCCAAAGACATGCCTGCTCAGCCCATTGCTGCCACTATGGGCCCCAAGGCCTGGCCTACATGGTGTCCTAACCTCCAGAAAAACTTGACCACATCATCCATTAATAACTGCACCCTTAGCCCCTGAAGTGAGTAGATACCACAAAAACCACTAAGGCTGTTTATAGCTGAAGAAATCATACAGAGGCTACAACACTGCATGCACCCAGAATCAAAGCCGAAGTGCCCTACCCAACCAAGACCACAGAAAAATCTTTGGGGAAATGCTCTCCCCATGGAAGAAAATTCAAAAATTGAAAGAAGCAACTCTTATACAAGCTGCAAAGGTATCAACATAAGGGCACAGGAAACACAAACAAGCAAGAACATATGATACCTCCAAAGGAACATACTAATCCTCTAGAAACAAATCTCAATTAAAAATAAATTCATGAAACTCTTAAAAAGTATTCAAGTTATTGATTCTACAGAAGCTCAGTAAAATACATGAGATTTCTGACAAACAATACAAAGAAATCAGAAAAACTATTCAAGATATGAATGAGATATTTAGCAAAGATATAAAATAATGTGAAAGAAATATTATTTTAAAAATCAAACAGAAATTTTGGAAATTAAAACCTCATGAATAAAATACAAAATACATTAAAAATCTTCAATAATAGAGTAGATTAAGCAGAAGAAATAATTCCAAAACTTGAAGAAAAGTCTTTTGAAATAACCCAATCAAACAAAAATAAATTTAAAAAAATAAAAATAAATGAACAAAGTCTTCATGATATATGGCACACTATGCAGCAACCAAATATACAAATTATGTGTCCCAGAAGGCAAAGAGAGAACTAAAGTTTCAAAAATCTAATAATAATTAAAAACTTCCCAAGTTTAGCAGGAGATTTAGACATCTAAATACAGGAGGCTCTGAGATTCTCATCTAATTACAGGAGGCTCTGACATTAAACACCATGAAAAAATACAAAAGTATACAACTCACTTGTAAAGCAAACATACAAATAAGAAAAAGAAAACCTCAGTGATACCAGAACAGAAAACCACCAAACCACAACGACAAATAATAAGAGAGAAGAAAAGAATAAAGAATACACAAAACAACCAGAAAACAATTAACAATAAAACACAAATAGGCTGGGTGCAGCGGCTCACACCTGTAATCCTAGTACTTTGGGAGGCCAAGGTGGGCGGATCACCTGAGGTCAGGAGTTTGAGACCAGCCTGGCCAAAACGGTGAAACCCAATCTCTACTAAAAAATACAAACATTAGCTGACCGTGGTGGCACGTGCCTTGTAATCCCAGCTACCCGTGAGGCTGAAGCTGGAGAATTGCTGGAACCTGGGAGGCAGAGGCTGTAGTGAGCTGAGATCCCACCACTGCAGTCCAGCCTGGGTGACAGAACAAGACTTCTGTCTCAAAAAAAAAAAAAAAAAAAAAAAATACACACACACAAATAAAACCTTACTTATCAATAGTAATCTTAAATGTAAATTAATTAAAATATATACTTAAAAGATATAGACTGGCCGAATAGATAAAACAAAACAAACCAAAGACAAAACAAGACTCAATTATATGTTGCCTAAAAGAAACATCCTTTACCTGTAAAGAGGCAAATAGATTGAAAGTAAAGGGATAGAAAAAGATATTCCACACAAATAGAAACTAAGCAAGCAAGAATAGCTATATTTATATCACATATAAGAAACTTTACTTCAAAAGCCATTTTAAAAAGACAAAGAAATTCATTATATAATGATAAAGGCATCAATGCAGCAATGGAATATAACAATTATAAATATATATGCACTCAACACTAGAGCACCCAGATTCACAAAGCAAACATTACTAGATCTAAAGAAAGATATAGACTTCAATAACATATTAGTGGGGAACTGTAACACCATACTTTCAGCATTAGGCAGATCACCAATACAGAAAATCAAGAAAGAATATTGCATTTAAATAGAACTCTAGACTAAATAGACCCAATAGACATTTACAGAACATTTTATCCAACACCTTGAGAATACACATTCTTCGCATTAGCATATAGAGCCTTCTCTGGGACAGAGCTTATGTTAGGTCACACACACAAAAAAAAACTCAGCACTTTAAAAAAAATAGAAATCATATCAAGTATCTACTCAGGCCACAATGGAGTAAAACTAGAAACTTATACCAGGAGGAAATTTGAAAATTATACAAATATATAAAAATTAATAAAGGCCTGGTGCGGTGGCTCACGCCTGTAATTCCAACATGTTGGGAGGCCGAGAAAGGCAGATCACCTAAGGTCGGGGGTTCGAGACCGGCCTGACCAATATGGAGAAACTCCATCTCTACTAAAAACACACACACAAAAAAAACTGAGCAGGGCATTGTCTCACATGCCTGTAATCCCAGCTACTCAGAAGGCTGAGGCAGGAGAATTGCTTGAACTCAGGAGGCAGAGGTTGCGTTGAGCCGAGATCACACCATTGCACTCCAGCCTGGGCAACAAGAGTGAAACTCCATCTCAAAAAAATAAAAATAAAAAACAAATTTCTGCTGTACCCCATTGTGTCAATGAAGAAACTAGGATGGAAATTAAAAACAAAATTCTTGAAACTAATGAAAATGAAAGGAAAATATAACAAAACTTTTTTGAGACAAAAAGCAGTACTAAAATGGAAGTGTATAGCAATAGCCACCACATCAAAAAAGTAGGAAGATTTCAAATATAAAAATCTAATGATATAACTCAAGGAATTAGAAAAGCAAAGATAAACCAAACCCAAAATTAGCAGACAAAGATAAATATTAAAGGTCAGAATAGAGATAAACAAAATGCAGGCCAAAATAATAATAATAATAATACAAAAGAACAAGGAAATGAAAAGTTGCTTCTTAAAAAAGACAAATAAAATTAATAAATGGCTAGACAAACTAACCAATAAAGAGGAGCAACAACCCAAAATAAGCCAAATCAGAAATGAAAAAGGAAATACTACAACTGATACCACAAAAATACAAAGGATTAACTGAGACTACTATGAACAACTATACCCTAACAAACTTGAAAACCTAGAGGAAAGAGATAAATTCTTGGAAGCATATAACCCACCAAAAGTGAGTCAGGAAGAAATAGAAAAAAACAAACAAACAAAACAAACAAAAAACAAAAAGAGACTAATAATGAGTAGTGACATTGAATCAGAATTAAAAATACATCTTCCAACAACAATAAAAAAAACCCAGGCCCAGATGGATTCACTGCCAAATTCTACCAAATGTAGAAAGATGAACTAATATCAACCCTCCTAAAAATTATTTCAAAAAATTTCACTCTAACTCATTCTGTGAGTGACAAACAACAAGATAATTTGCTATCAGCATTACTTGGAGAGCAAAACCAGACAAGGACACACCACAAAAAGAAAACTACAGACTGATATCCTTGATCAACATACATACAAAACTCCTCAGCAAAACACTAGCAAACTAAATATATCACATTGAAAAGAACACACCATGATCAAGTGGGATTTTTCCCCAAGGATGCAAGGATGGTTCAACACACACACATGAATAATAGTGACACTCACATCAACAGAATGAAGGACAAAAATCTATATTATTTTCCCGACAGATGAAGAAAAAGCATTGACAAAATCCAACCATCCTTTTATGATAAAAGCTCTCTAAGACTAGGAATAGTAGAATCATATATGCAAATAATAATGGTCATTTATGACAAACCAACAGCTAACATCATATTAAATGGACAAAATGGAAAGCCTTTCCTCTAAAAACTTGAACAAGACACGGATGCTCACTTTAAACACATCCATTCAGCATAGTACTGGAAGTTCTAGCTAGACCAACTAAGTGAGAGAAAGAAATGAACGGCATCTAAATTGGAAAAGAGAATGTCAAATTGTCCCTCTTTGCCAATGACACGTTCTTATGTTTAGAAACATCAAAATACTCCACCAGAAAATTATTAGAACTGATAAATATTTAATAACATCGCAGGATACCAAATCAGCATAGAAAAATCAGTAGCATTTCTATAAACCAGTAATAAAATAGCTGAAAAATATCAAGAAGATAATTCTGTTTACAATAGCTACACCTAGGAATATATTTAATCAAAGAGTGAAAGATCTCCATAAGGAAAACTGCAAAGCACTGATAAATTGAAGAGGACACAATCAAACGGAAAGAAATCCCATATTCATGAATCTAAAAAACCAGTATTGTCAAGATGACCATACTATCTAAAGCAATATACAGATTCAATGCATTCCCTATAAATATATGTACATCATTTTTCACAGAAATAGGGTAAAAAATCTTAAAGTTAATATGGAACATAAAAGTGCCTAGAAAATGCAATCCTGAGAGGGAAAGAAATAAAGCTGGAGACATCACACTATCTGACTTCAAAACATATTAAAAGGCTGCAGCAAATGAAGTATGGTATTGTTATAAAAATAGATATTTAGACCAATGGAATAGAATAGAGAACCCATAAATAGATCCTTACATCTACAGTGAACTAATTTTCTACTAAGATGCCAAGAACATACGCTGGGGAAAGGGCAATCCCTTCAGTAAATGGTGCTGAGAAAACTGGATATCTATATGCAGAAGAGTCAAGGTGGACTACATTACTCATTATGTACAAAAGTCAAAGCAAGAAGGATTAAACATAAGACCCCAAATATAAAAATATTAGAAAAAAACAGAAGCAAAACTATTCAGGACATTGGGCTTGGCAAACAATTCATGGCTAAGACTCCAAAAGTACAGGCAATAACAACAAAAATAGACAAACGTAATGTTATTAAAGCAGAAAACTTCTGCACAGGAATAGAAACTATTGAAAGAGTGAGAAGACAATCTCTTAAATAGGAGAAAATACTTGAAGTCTATTCATCCAAGAGGAAACTAATATCCAGAATATACCAGGAACACAAACATCTCAAAAAAACAACAAAAGCAATCCCACTGAAAATGGGCAAAAGACATGAATAGACAGTTCTCAAAAGAAGATACATGAATGGCCAACAGGTATATGAAAAAATGCCCAACATCATCTATCAGGAAATGTAATTCAAAACCACAATGAGATAACATCTCATCCCATTTAGAATGGTCATTATTTTTTTAAAAATAAGTAAAATAACAGACGCTAGCAAGGATGTGGAGAAAAGGGAACTCTTATACACTGTTGGTGGGAATGTAAATTAGTACAACCACTATGGAAACAGCATGGAGACTTCTCAAAAAATGAAAAATGGAACTATTACATGATCCTGCAATCTATTTGGTATCTATTAAAAAAAATCATGATATGCCCAGTCTGTCCTGCAGACCCTGGTCAACAGATGAAATGAGCACTCAGACACAGGTATGCAGTGTAAGAGCAGCTAGGTGACTGCCTGGCTGTAGTGGCCAGAGAGCAGCTCCAAGAAGGTGGAGCTGCTTGCTTTTATTCAGTGCAGGCACAATGCCAAAAACCTGGAGCCAACACAACCTGTAGGAAATTAACATTTATTGTTCCCCTTTCAGGGAATGTCACACACAGATGATCAAAGTCAGTTCCTGGTCAACACAAGTAAACAAGCTTGTTTAAGACAAATTCCCCCACACTCCCTTGTATCTACTACTTGCCCTCTGCCTCAGGGTTATAGAACAGCTGCCTTCAGCTATTCTTTCTCAGGGTTCTGCAGAACCTTCCGACCTTTCAGAAGGTATGTGTCCTTTCCCTACAGTTTTTCCCACCACTCTGACTGATCCCCCACAAGGATATCAAAGGGATATCTGCATTTCCATGTTTATCACAGCACTATTCATAATAGCAAAGATAAGGAGTCAATCTGAGTGTTCATCAATAGATGAATGGATAAAGAAAGCATGCTATACACACACACATACAATTTAATAGTATTTCACCATAAACAAAGTAAGAAATTCTGTCATTTGTAGCAACATAGATGAAATTGAAGGTTATTACATTAAGCAAAACAAGCAAGGCACAGAAAGACAAATATTGCATGTTTTCACTTATATGTGGGAGCTAAAAAATTTGATGTCATTATAGTAGAGTAAAATGATAAATACTAGATGTTGGGAAAAGATGCAGGGAAGTAGGGATAAAGAGAGGTTGGTTAATGGGTACAAACACAGATAAAAGGTTTAAGTTCTATTGTTTGAAAGCAGAGTAGAGTGAATATAATTGACAACAATGTACTGTATATATCAAAGCAACTAGAAGAGGGGACATGTATTGCTTCCAACACATAGAAATGATAAATACTCAAAGTTATAAATATCTCAAATACCTCGAACTGATTGTTCTATGCATGTAACAAAATATCATATGTATTCCATAAATATATAAAACATTATGTGCCATTAATAAATAATGAAAACAAATACACTGGTGTATGTTGTCTCTATTCTCTGCTTTTAGCAGATTAAATTACAGAATAATTATTTTATATGCATAAGACAAAAAATTATTATTTTCTGTTAAATTTTTGTCTGATTTCTTTTGTTGTCCTTAATATAATCAGGTTCATAGAGGTTGCATAATTTTGGTATAAAACTGTACATACAATCCACAATTCATGCATAATATTAGTAGAAAACAAAATATTGGCGTAAATAATTCATCTGTAGAGTAGATGAACTCTGCAGAAAATCACCACTTCACTTAACCATATTAATAATGTATTAGGAAATAAAATTAATTACTGACTTTTGAAATTATGATTACTTTGTGGAATAAACAAACAAAAACAGGATTTATAGAATACTAAAAAAATATCAAAATAAGATTCAAACATGTATCAAGATATTTAAAAAATTTTGTTTATGTAGGAATATTTCCCTTTTGATATTTTACACTGCCTTATATAAACTAAACTTCTATATCAATAATTTAGAGCATTTTTTTCTAATTTAAATGTTTTAAAAGCAACATTTCAATTTTTAGACATATTTATCTAAGCTATGCAAGATAACTGGCCGATTTCTTCCCTAAAAGTAAAAAATCATGATTTTTAAATTTTTATCCATTTTCAAATATTAAGTCTGGAAAGTATTTTTAGACTTCATATTTATTTTAAATATTTCTTACATGTATAATATCATGCCTAGATCTACAGAAAATATTTAATAATTATATTTATGAGGGGCTACTTAATAATAAAACATACTGGTTCTAATAAATTTGTATTATATATTTTTGAACATTCTGAAAGTGTATTTATATTTTTAGCAAAAAATATTTTCTTTCCAAATTTTTATTATCTAGTAATATTTATTTGCCAATTAAATTCATCAGAACCTTCACACAAAAATATTAGATAGTAGTGAGAAATAGATATTCTTTTATTTCTTCAGTTTATTCAAGTGAGTCTTCTCAAGACATCCATGAATTACAAGCACACATTATTGATAACTGCATGTATTTTGTGTGAAGGGATTAGCTAATATTTATATAGCAGTTTAAAATATTTTATTCAAACATTCCATATATAATACATCATATAAATATTTCATCATAAGTTGTTTTATGAAATAATGGTATCTCTATTTTAGATGTGTTAAAATCAAGATATAGAGAATTTATGTAACTAACTTGCCATTGTACCACATATTTTGTATGTGTATATGTATTTATGTGTATTTGTATATATGTATACTTACATACACATACGTTTTTTATATATGTGTATAAACTCATATGTGTATATTTATATATATGAAGAATTATGTGGTCTCTATGTCTTCGTTGAAGTTAATGAACAATTTTCTAAGTAGCAATGAAAATAGAGCATAATTGGAATAGTTTCAACATTTAATGGGAGATGAGACATGAAGACAAGTAGTTCAAATCACTTGTGGATTATGAGAAGGAAGAGAGCAGAAAACAAAACATAACATTTTTTAATTTATAAAATAACACTTCCTTAGTAAAATCTTATCAAAATATTTTCAGCAATATTGTTATTTTTTCAGTGTATATCAGGAATAATATATTTTGGTTAACTGTATTTTATTCTAGGAATTCCACAATGGTCTTCTTTATGATTGACTTAAGAATATACACGTATATATTAATTCATTAAAATTATTAAAATAATTTTAATAATTTTAATTTAAAATTTTTATTTTTTAAATTTAAAATTAAAATAATTAAAATTAAAATTAAAATTATTTTAATAATTTTAATGAATTAATCTGATTAAATACTTTTTTGAATCTCCTCTAATTTGCTTGTGTAAACATACCCAAAATTCTATCTCAAATTTTCTCCTATCTACTGAATTCAAGAGATAACCCTCTATTCAGAAACAAGACAAATATACCTGCTTTTATATCATGACTTGAACATTGTCTGGGAAATTTACTTATGACAATAAAAAAATATTAAAAGGAGGGTATATGAACACTTTTTCTATGTATTACTATTATTAGCTAACAACAGCACAAAAAATAAAAAATATAACACTTTGGAAGAAATACTAGAAGTATAGATTGGTACAAAGGTTATGCAGAGCCATTAAGCAATTGCTATCAGAATTTTAAATAAAGGTTACTTTTAACTGAACATTTCTAATTTTAGTGTATAAATGTATATTTGTGTCTGTATTAGTTTGGAAGCTGAATAAAAAGAAGCAATGAAAATTTTTATTTTTCTGATATGAAATAATGAAAACCATAACTAAAGAAATATACTAAGTATGGAAGAAATTTAATGTATTTATAAAATATTTAGGAGGTAGAATCAAAAATATTTCTTGACTGTTTTAATGTGAATAGTGCATAGAAGATGCACCTTTACATTTCTTTGGGGTTCCTTTTTATGGTGACTGGCAATAGGAAATGTTTATGGTAAAATATGGAATGTATACAGTAGAATATATTTTTCAAGGATTATAATGAGTTTAGATTTGGATTAGTTTTATGTGTAATGCTCAGGGCACAACTATTTGCAGATATGTAGGGCACAATCAAGGAAAAATATTGTAAACCAAGCAAACAAATAAATAAACTATTAAAATATGTTTCAAGCTAGAGGTCAGGATAAAGATTTATCCTAAGGTTATAGATTTGGGCATCAGCATCATATAGATGGTTATTGAAGTCATGACTACAAATGAGGGCACCAATCTGCATAACTTTGTAATTTTCTGCAGTAAGCTGAACAGTCAAGGTGTAGGAGTAAAGAAGTCAAATATTTATGTGTGATTTATAGCTACATCTTGACTGCATACAATACCTGAATCTTAAGAGCAGTCTTCCTTTGGACATCAAACATACATTTCACTAAACTAGGTTAATGAGTTTTCAGTTTATTAGTTACATCCTGCCTAAATTAAAACTCACATTCACTCACATAGATTCACACACAGAATGTGCTACTTTCATTTTTTAATAGAATAAAATGATATTGGAAATGACTCTAGTATATTATTATTTGTTAAGCAATGCCACTTTTAGCAGTGTAAATCTCTTTTGTATTTAAGAATGATAATCATTTGTGGTTAAGGATTATGTTTTACACAGACAAAGCAGAATAGCAGGCTCTTATAGTCCATCAAATCCTTGCTGAGTCACATGAACATTTAGAAGAATTTTGTGAATTTAGACATTGCTGAATAGATAATATTTTATTGCCCTCCGTGGATTCCAATTTTCTCTAATATATCAAAAGCAGGTGAAAACTATGCGAAGCATTATGAAGAATCCTATATGCCAGGAATAATTCAAATGTCAGGGACCAGACTGGTAATTTAAAATTTGTAGTGGCAAATATAATACTAATGTGAGTTTTGGGCATTCTGTCAGAAAAGAAGAACTCCACCTAGAGGTGGTAAAATGGATTTTATTTGAGAAAGGGTGTGGGGGATGTTGGGGGGAGAGGAGAGGAGGGAGGGGAAGAAAGAGGGGATGAGGAGAAGAGTTATTTCTGTCCAAAACAGCTTGCTCTCAATTGAATCTTGCTGACTCTTTTCTAATAAAAATAAAATAAAAAAGATATAAAGAGATGGATATTGAATTGTGATAATTTTTCTTTGAGAAATGTATTTCTAAAAGTTTTGGTCAAGTAGAATCAGAACAAATTGAATAAATTTAAATTTTTTAATTCAACAGTGGTGCTATTATATGCACTGCATTTTACAAAGACTGAGATCCAATCACAAACATTTCTGACATGATGTAACTGGAAAGCCAAACTGTAATGGGATATGAAAATTCAAGATATAAGTGATTTGAAGGGGAAAATACAGTGTGCCATAGGAACTTATAGAAAAATCAAAACATCTATTTCAGCCAAAGATGCTCAAGGAAAGCTTTCCAAATTAAGTAATATTTCATTTCTGATCTGGTAGATAAAGAAAATCAAGCTAGGCAAATCCAGTAGACAAGGAAAATTAAGAAAAGGAAAACAGTATGAGTATTGCCTATATTCAGAAGACTATACCGTATTCTGGAAAATTAAAGGAGTTTCAAATAATTAGAACGTAATGTTTGGAATCTGGAGCAGTATTGGCAAAGTATAGACTGGAGAGGTGATCAGGACCTGTTGATGAAGGACTCAGGAAGCCTGGAAAAGGCATTTGGGCTCTACCCTGAAGTCAAAGGATTATCTTTTAAGAAGGCTGAGCATAAATTGATTTGCGTGCTAGAAATATTATTATGGTGACTTTATAAATAATAATTTGGTGGGGTGCAGGTATACTTGCAAGGTATATAATAGCTATACGTTCAAGCAACAATGAGAAGAAGGCTGTTGCAAGAAGTCAGGTGGTGGATAATGGTGGCCAGAACTTGAGTAATAACAGTGAGGATGGAGTGAAAAACAAGGATAAATTTGAGAGGTATATTTTGAAAGCCAAATTCATGGTATATAGAGGTTGATTGTGACCAAGACATCCTTAATATTCCCCTAAGCTTCACTAAATTTTATAAATGTTTCTTCCTGACCATAAGCGCTAGACCTCCCTTATCTTAGAGCATTCACTTTAAAAACTTAACATTGCGAATTCTTACCCTGACCCCTTCGTGAAATGTATACATATTGTCTTGAAAGCCTCTTGCCAGTTTTACAACCCACAGTCTTTTTCAAGGACTTGGAAGCCATCCTTTGAAATGTACTCATCAGGAAAGCTAGCATCCAAATCTCCCAGCTTCTGTGGGAGGGTAAGGGCCTAACATCCATAAGCTCTAATTAGCAAACACAAATGACCTAATTACAGAGAGAAACAGGAATGAAAATGCAGGAATAGGCCGGGTATGGTGGCTCACGCCTGTAATCCCAGCATTTTGGGAGGCCGAGGCGGGCGGATGGCCTGAGCTCAGGAGTTCACCACCAGCCTGGACAACATGGTGAAACCCTGTCTCTACTAAAATACAAAAAATTAGCCGAGCGTGGCGGCAGGCGCCTGTAGTCCTAGCTGCTTGGGAGGCCGAGGCAGGAGAATTGCTTGAACCCAGGAGGCGCAAGTTGCAGTGAGCCAAGATCGCGCCACTGCACTCCAGCCTTGGCGACAGAGCGAGAGACACCGTCTCAAAAAAAAAAAAAAAAGCAGGAATAAATGCTTGCTTGATGCACCCAACACATTCCATTGACCAACCCACCCCTGAAGTCCTCCAGTTATTTCACAACTCACCTCACAACTTCAAAACCCTTCAGCCTTTTGTTTCAGAGAAGTTGAGTTCAATTTCTCCCCACTTACTGCAACCGTGTTGAATAAAGTCTTCCTTACCTGTTTAATTCTGTTAGGTGTATGTTTTCTTTGACATTTCAATAGTAAGAATAGTTGTAGTATGATAAATACTCAGGAGACAAGAATGATCTCCAGGTTCCTGATATTTACTGCCAGGAGAACGACAGTTTATTCATTACAATTGCAGGAAAATAAATTAGAAAAGCTTTGAAGGAGTAACAAAGTGTTAGTAGGAGAAAAAAAAATCAAACCCAAACCAAAGTTGCAAAAAGATAGGAAGGTAACATTTCCAAGGTAAATCCCTCCTTCAGCATGTGAAATATAAAACGTCTGTCTCTTTCCTCAAGGAAAATAAAGTTAAAAAATAATAATACCCAACAAAACATACATTTAATATTTCAAGATACATTATTTGAAATGTATTGAAAATGTTTCCTTGGAGTTAGAAGAAATTGTATTTTTTCATGAATTGCAATAAACATATATTTGGAATTCATCGCCATAAATAAAGTTTACATCGGCATTTTTACTTTTTAAGTTATTTAGTTTTTAAGGACACTATAGGGGTTACATTGATTTTTCAAGTTTTTATAAAAATGCAATAATCAAATTGTTTATTTGGAAAGAAATGAATATTCAAATTTAATAATGTTTATATTTTTAAACATTAGAATGTTTTAAAAAGGGTCAATATAATTCAACTTTGCTTATAAAATTCAAAATATTTCTGATATCTAGTCTTAATTACACAGACTAATCTATTTTTTCTAAATTTGTATTTGACTTCTTTTAGGTATATTGAGGAATACAAATGAGTTTCTGAAACATATACTAAAATGGCAAGAACAGAAGAAGAACAATATAATTTGTTGATCTATTTTTTGTTTTTGTTTTGATGATTCTATAGGTAATAAATTAGGAAATAACTCAGTGGCAAAATGTGTATTTTAGATTATAAACATGATAAAATCTACTGAAGAATATATTTTAAAATAACAATATTGACAAGTATAACTAATTTATATATTTATTGAATTATTTGGGCTTGAAGTCAAAGAATACTTTATCTGAGCTACGTTAAGTAATAAGAATATTTATTAGATCACCAAAGATCAATCTGGAGCTTTAATGTGATTATCGAAATTCAAAAATGTTATCAAGGACCAATTATTCTTTTTGCTGCAATTTTTACAGATATGCAAAACTTGAGGTTGATTACTGTTAAAGTTTTAGTTTTAGAATTCCAGAGAGTAGAAGTTGTGGCTAAATATTTCCTATACACAATGAACATGAAAAAGCCCATCTTGTTTTCCATTAATATCTTTAAAGAACATGAATATTGTCCTTCCATCCTTCTATTCCTCTGTTCATTTCTTTTACTGTTTTTCATTCTTCTGTATTAAAATAAATTTTTTTACAGTTTTGATTTTTATGGGAGGATGGACTTTCTTTTCAGACGATTAAACTCTGTTTTTTATGAGCTGATTATTTGCATGGATACATCTGTCCATGAGACTGAAGAATCCCAGATTTCCAGATCAACCAAGATATTTGTTCTTGGTGAGGGAGGGGTGAATAAGTGTATTTTTTACATTTTACTTTAAGTTCTGAGATACATGTGCAGAACGTGCAGGTTTGTTACACAGGTATACATGTGTCATGGTAGTTTGCTGCACCTATCAACCCGTCATATAGGATTTAAGCCCCACATGCATTAGGTATTTGTCCTAAGGATCTCCCCCACTCTCCCTCCACCCATGGACAGGCCCCGGTGTATAATGTTCCCCTCCCTGTGTCCATGTGTTCTCACTGTTCAACTTCCACTTAGGAGTAAGAACATGAAGTGTTTGGTTTTCTGTTCCTGTGTTAGTTTGCTGAGAATGATGGCTTCCAGTTTCATCCATGTCCATGCAAAGACGTTAACTAATCCTTTTTTTAATGACTGCATATTACTCCATGGTGTATATGTGCCACATATTCTTTATCCAATTTATCACTGATGGGCATTTGGGTTGGTTCCAAATCTTTGCTATTGGACATAGTGCTGCAATAAACATTCGTGTGCTTGTGTCTTTGTAATAGAATGATTTGTAATCCTTCCCGTATATACCCAGTAATGAGATTGCTGGGTTAAATGATATTTCTGCTTCTAGATATTTGGGGAATCACCACACAGTCTTCCACAATGGTTGAACTAATTTACACTCCCACCAACAATGTAAAAGCATTTCTATTTATCTACAGACTTAAATGTAAAACCTCAAACCGTAAAAAACCCTAGAAGAAAACCTAGGCAATACCATTCATGACATAGGTATGGGCAAAGATCTCATGACTAAAACACCGAAAGCAATGGCAACAAAAGCCAAAGTTGATGAATGAGATCTCATCAAACTAAAGAGCTTCTGCACAGCAAAAGAAACTATCATCAGAGTGAAAAGACAACCAACAGAATAGGAGAAAATGTTTCCAAGATACCCATCTGACAAAGATCTAATATCCAGAATCCACAAGGAACTTAACAAATTTACAAGAAAAAAAGCAAACAATTCCATGAAAAAGTGGGCAAAGATTATGAACAGACACTTCTCAAAAGAAGACATTTATGTGGCCAATAAACATATGAACAAAAGCTCATCATCACTGGTCATTAGAGAAATGCAAATCAAAACCACAATGAGACACAATCTCACGCCAGTTAGAATGGTGATTATCAAAATGTCGGGAGACAACAGATGCTGGTGAAGTGTATTTTTTATACTTCATATTTTCTATAAAAATCTGAATATGACAGAAATATTAACTCAAAGAAGTTTTTGTCACACTAATTTAGAATTGTATGATTCAACTTTCTTAGCATACGATACATAAGATAGATTTGAAAATTTATCCAGTGATCAATTCTTCAAAGTTTGGGATACAGAGGAATTGAAGGTGTTGCTGAATATCAGACAAATCTCATATAAATGACTTAGATTTTTTCAGTCTTGAATTTCTTCCAACTCTCACTATTTGTTCTGCACCAGCCAATACAACAAAGATTTTTGTGTAAGCTTGAGCAGTCCCACCATCTAGAGTTAAAGCCTGGCTCCTTCAACTCTTCTAGACTTGAAGAAAGTATGAAGGGATAGGATATCACTGCTAGCTTCTTGTGTGGCCATTAAAAGTTTCAAATGACCACCACTGGAACTGCAAACAAGTTAATTTTTTATATGATAAATTTTGATCACTGTAGGATAGGAGATAAAAGTTCTGCAAAAAAAATGCCTCTCTATATCTTCTTTTGATAGACTATTTCTGTACAACCTACCCAGATATGACCTCCATGCTGATGAATTGGCTATATCTTTTTTTAAGCAGTAGACAATTCAGTAATGCACTGCTTTGTATCTGCTTCCATTCTTCTCCCTTTAACCTCCTGCCCATTTTCCTCACTCTTTTTGTGCTAGCTATGTGCTTCCCAATAAAGCATTAGCCTTAGCCTTCACTGCAATGTCTATTTTTTAGCGAACACCAGGTTACGAAATGCTAACTAAAAGTAGAAATCAGATAATCAACCAGAGGACTAGAGATGTGTGTAGTAAAAAATGAAAATGTGAGGGATTGATAGTCAGTGTGGCGATTCCTCAGGGATCTAGAACTGGAAATACCATTTGACCCAGCCATCCCATTACTGGGTATATACCCAAAGGACTATAAATCATGCTGCTATAAAGACACATGCACATGTATGTTTATTGTGGCATTATTCACAATAGCAAAGACTTGGAACCAACCCAAATGTCCAACAATGATAGACTGGATTAAGAAAATGTGGCACATATACACCACGGAATACTATGCAGCCATAAAAAATGATGAGTTCATGTCCTTTGTAGGGACATGGATGAAATTGGAAATCATCATTCTCAGTAAACTATCACAAGAACAAAAAACCAAACACCGCATATTCTCACTTATAGGTGGGAATTGAACAATGAGATCACATGGACACAGGAAGGGGAATATCACATTCTGGGGACTGTTGTGGGGTAGGGGGAGGGGGTAGGGATAGCATTGGGAGATATACCTAATGCTAGATGATGAGTTAGTGGGTGCAGCGCACCAGCATGGCATATGTATACATACGTAACTAACCTGCACAATGTGCACATGTACCCTAAACCTTAAAGTATAATAATAAAAAAAAGACAAATCCAAAAAAAAAAAAAGAAAATGTAAGGGACATGATAGAATTGGAAAAAACCGGGGCATAAAGAAATTAAAGGTCTCTTCAAAGTCAAAACACAGGTATACTTATTACTGCATGTGAGGGATTTTGGAATTATGTTGAATAGTTGAAGTATTTTAAAAAAACGATATAGCGGCATTGAGTATGTAGAATAAAGTCTGTAGTCTATCTATTCTTTACCCATGGGTCTCATAATAGATGAGGTCTATTAGAATAAGCTGTTTTATTTTATTTGCTTAATAATCTACATTGCTATAAGAGAAGCAAAGTCTCAATTATGTACCAGGAGCCAATTAATCCTAGGTGTAGAAAATAATATTCAGTGGAATTTTAAATAATCAGGTCAGTTTATTTACAACAGGTAGAAGGTTTCCAAAAAGCGGAGTGAGAATTGTGTATAAGTACGAAGTATAAAAAAATTAGAAAAAATGATTATGGCTTCTGCTATAGTACCCAAGCTGATAGGAAAGAGTGGCATGAATGGAAGGAAATTACCAAAATTACTAACTTTCAAAATATTTTTGTTTCTGTTGTTTATTTAGGATTTACTGATCCCAAGCAGGATGACATGATCTCAAAGATGTGGGCTGCCTGAGACGGTAAGAGGGTAATGATTGGTGTGCTGAATAAGGCTGAACCCTGTATTCTGCTTTGCAGTTAATGCCTTAAGAATGGGTTCTCCAAAATATTTTTCTAAATGAGAATTTAAAAGAGGGGCAACTGGTCAGAATAACCTAAGGTAAGTATGTAAGCTGATTACTGAAATTATGCTATCATATTCATAGTTATACAATTTTGCCTTAAGTACAGGCTAGTATATAACACTTTGATTATAAGAAATTCATGGTGGATGATTGTAGGGGTCGTTTCCTTAGGAATGATTCTGTAGAGGTTGTTACTCTAAAACTTTAATAACCTCTTTCAGAATTTGCTTTACAATATGCAGCATCTACAAATATGTGATAATGTTTCTTTCACTTTTTATCTAATTTAGCTCATATTCACTTTGAGCAAACAGAACATTCATTATTTCTTCATTTCTCTTTAAGATAAGCCTCTCAGCATTACCTAAATCACCATCGTGTCCATTATTATTTTTACTTTTTTCATTTGTTTGCCTTTCAGGAACACTCTCCTTAGTCTTATTGTTATCGGTCCCAAAGTTTTCAGCTTTACTATCTGCTACACTATCTGATTCATCATTCAGCTTGCTCCTGTATTATCAGGAAACACATTATTAATTTTATTGTTCTGTTTCTCACAGCTGACATATTTAACAGGATCTGATAAAATTTTCTTTTCTTCTTTCCAGATGAAGCCTCACAATGTTCTTTGCTAGTAATAGCTTACTTGTTAAATCAATTCATTCATTACGATTGAGTTTGCTGGACTCGGGGTGGGAATTTGATTATCAAAAGACAGAGTTTTGTTTCTAATCCCCTATATGACTATAATTAAAATTTATGGCATCATCCCCAGGTAATTAAATATATGCTTAATGTTAAAGCTCAATACATTATCTTTTCATTATCTTACTTTTCTAATTTATATAGTATTTGGTGTGTGTTGTGGCTTTGTTTAGATTGGTTATCAGTGGTTGTCACAAGGCTAGTCTGATGTTTACAATTGATTCAACAATTTAACATAGCATTGGAGGGACTAAAATATTGTAGTCACTTTTTTAGTGTATTTGTTATACATACATTCAGTTGCAAAAGTCATAGTCCAGGAAGATGTTAAAATCAAATTAATTAATTTATTAAATATATTTAAAAACTGATTTCTATGTGTCATGCACTGTATAATGCATAAAAATGTGAACACTGAAAAACAATCTATTTTCTCTTTGGAAGGCGATGGTTGTTCAGGTAAATGAGGATGAAGTGCTCTAATAGGTTTTTCATTGAAAGTAAGAAAAAGTAATATTTGGAGTTGTCAACTCTGCTGTGCTTGTGGGACATGCATGTAGGGAGTTTCCAGAAAGAGTTGCATATATTCTTTTGAAAATCTACATAGATGTCTGAGCCAGACCTAAAATTATCCTCATTCTGACAGTTATTGTTAGGAGAGAGAATGCAGTCCCTCGGGTAGCGTATGTTATTTGAGAGAACAGTAGGAGAGAATAGTAGGACTATTGAACTCTGGAAAACACACAGTTTTACATTTATTTCAATTTTGTTTTAATTTTATTTAAACTAATGAACAGAGTAAAAGGAGACCTTGAAGCACACATAAAAAAGTTTACAGAGAATATAGAACCTTCTATTGGTAATATTTTCTGTGATGAAAATCAAAGATATATTTTAGTAGAGTGTTTTTTTTTAAGATGGAGAGTTCTAAATTGATTTCATTGACAATTGTAGACAGTCTGTAATGAAGAAGGCAATGAGGTTCAATGTACAAAAGATGGACAAAGAGTGAGTTTAGTGTTAAATTAGCATGAGATTTACCTCTTATTTGTATTAATTGAGTCTAGAAATGTTATGTGATGATAGGTCTAATAAATCATTACACAAACTAAACAACATACTGATGCATTAAGAGGAGTTTAATAATAGAGCCACTATAAATACAACTCTCTTATTCTTTATTTCTTTGAGAGAATGTAACCTAATTAATGCTGAAAGGAGCACTTTGTTTAACTTTATTTCCTCCATTATTTCCCTACTATTTTGACCTTTATGGTTGAACAAAATTTGTTAATTGTTATGAACTACTAGCTGATAAGTAACAATTGCCCATTTCTTATCTAATTTTAAGTTAAATATTAAAAGAGTTTTTGTTGTATATGTGGTGCATATGTGTGCATGAGCACCTATTAAGTGTTAAAGCACACCAATCTCTAGGAGATAAAGAGATGCTATTTCATACGCTCTACCAACAAAATACACTTCTTTCTTTTTTTTTATTTTAATTTTAGTTTAAGTTCTGGGATACATGTGCAGAACGTGCATGTTTGTTACCTAGGTATAAATGTGCACAGTGATTAGCTGCACCTATTGACCCGTCCTCTAAGTTCCCTGCCCTCGCCCACCACCCCGCAACAGGCCCTGGTGTGTGCTGTTCCCCTCTCTGTGTCCATGCGTTCTCATTGTTCAATGCCCAATTATGAATGAGAACATGTGGTATTTGGTTTTCTGTTCCTGTGTTAGTTTGCTGAGGAGGATGGCTTCCAGCTTCATCCATGTCCCTGAAAATGACATGATTGCATTCCTTTTTATGACTGTGTTGTATTCCATGGTGTATATGCACCACATTTTCTTTAGTCAGTCTATGATTGTGGGCACTTGGGTTGGTTCTATGACTTTGCTATTGTAAACAGTGCTGCAATAAACATATGTGTGCATATGTCTTTATAGTAGAATGATTTATATTCCTTTGGGTATATACCAAGTAATGGGATTGCTGGGTCAAATGGTATTTCTGGTTCTAGATCATTGAGAAATCACCATACTGTCTTCCACAATGGTTGAACTAATTTACATTCCCACCAACAATGTAAAAGCATTCCTACTTCTCCATAGCCCTGCCAGCATCTATTGTTTCTTGACATTTTAATAATCGCCATACTGACTGGCATGAGATGGTATTTCATTGTGATTTTGATTTGTATTTCTCTAATGATCAGTAATATTGAGCTTTTTTCATATGATTGTTGGCCACATGTCTTCTTTTGAGAAGACATATCCTTCACCCACTTTTCATTGGGTTGTTTTTTTTCTTGTAAATTTGTTTAAGTTCCTTATAAATTCTGTATGTTAGAGCTTTGCCAGATGGGTAGATTGCAAAAATTTTCTCCCATTCTGTGGGTTGCCTGTTCACTCTGATGATAGTTTCTTTCTGCTTTGCATAAACTCTTTAGTTTAATTAGATCCCATTTGTCAATGTTGGCTTTTTTTGCAATTGCTTTTGGCATTTTTGTCATGAAATCTTTGCCCATGCCTATGTACTGAATAGTATTGCCTAGGTTTCCTTCTAGGAGTTTTCATAGTTTTGGGCTTTACATGTAAGTCTTTAATTCATCTTGAGTAAATTTTTGTATAAGGTGTTAAGAAAGGCGCCCAATTTCAGTTTTCTGCATATGGCTATCCAGTTTTTCCAGCACCATTTATTGAATAGCAGATCCTTTCTTCATTGCTTGTTTTTGTCAGGGTTGTTGAATGTCAGATGGTTGTAAATATGTGTTGTTATTTCTGAGGTCTCTATTCTGTTGCATTGAGAAAGGTATATGGTCTCTAATATCTCCCCAGATATACTGTGGTTCCTCTGTATTTGTTTTGTCATATCTTTTATATATAATAAAAATGTAACCCTACTATTTATATAAATTCTTGCATATAGGTCAGTAATCTGTCTCACACATAAGGAGACATCCACAAATATTGGATGGCATATCTACTGAATTTCACAGGAGACACAATGAAACATTTGAAGACTGCTAAACTTGTGTTCATTGTTCTTTTTGTTTTTAGGCTAAATTGACAAATTAGAATGCATTACTAAATTATTCAAGCAATCAATTTTTGAGTGGGTAATCCATTTTATTTAGAAATGTGCAATAAAAAGCAATGTGGTGGGTTACTGAAATTCAGTGTAAGCTTAAGGCTCTTATGCCAGATGAAGCACATTCCTTTGTCTTCTGTACCTCCCAAGACACTAATTAAATAAGGATATAGAAATAGATAAAGGAGTAAACACATAATGAACAAGAAGAGTCCATAAACAAATGAAGGATTTTACAGTATTTCAGAGAGAGAGAGGGAGAGAGAGAAGAGAGGGACTAGAACTAGAGAAGAATTGAAACAGATACTAGCAACAAAATTACAAAGAATATGGTTCAATGATGCTCACCAAGAGAAAAATGAAGTCTGCCCAAGGGGACTCAGAGAGAATCTGGGTTCAATGTCAGGAGGTCAGGAGAAGGCTGTAATAAAATACATGTTAAAACCAAAGGAAGCAACTTAGAATATGTATTTTAAAACCGTCTTTAATCTTCGTTGCTATCTCCACCAGGAGCATACATAGATTATGGAGCCTGCATTATCCTCAATCTAGCTATGATGTGAACGATTGTAAATAAGGCCTCCCTATTCTAGCATTTGTGGTGTCATTATGGGATGCCCATAACTCAACAGGATTTAAACACTCTAATCATAAAGTGAATTTTTCCTGT
This sequence comes from Homo sapiens, assembly GCF_000001405.40. Lineage (NCBI taxonomy): Eukaryota > Metazoa > Chordata > Mammalia > Primates > Hominidae > Homo > Homo sapiens. The sequence goes on from NC_000013.11 coordinate 86,753,230, forward strand.
TCCTTTCCAAAAATGATAGCTAGAAAGCCCACAGTTGTTAGCATTCTCATTCAGAGAAATTATCTAACCTGTAACAGATCTACTTACAGAAAAGAAAAGAAAAAACATTCTTGGGCTTTACGTATGAAGTAAGAAGAAGGAAATATTCTCATGCTTACCGAATAATCCTATGCAGTAAAAACTAACCAAATAAAAAGGAAAAACTAAAGCAAAGCTAATAATGAAAGTAAAAGCCAAGCCCAAAATAAACAAAGATGATTTAAGAAAATAAAAAGTTTAAAATACCCTAAATTTAAATCTAATCAACACACTCAGATACTGGCAAAACATACATTTCTTAAACAATAAGACACCATGAAAAATAAAAATTAAGTAAAGCAAGTTTAAAAATTCTCAGAAACTAAAAATGTAATTTCTACTTTGGAAAGAAATAAAAGCTGTAGGCAATATGCATACTTTAAAAAGTTCCATAAAACGTAGAGAATGATGTTAACGGAAAGCCTATGAAGTAAAATAATAGATATAAATCTAGAAGTTGAACATCTTAAGTGTCAGTTTGGATGCTTTCAACTGCTTATAGAGCAAATCTGAGGAACCCATTTGAAGTGAACAAAATAATTAAAAACAAATTGTATCCATACATGTTTGTAAAAATTTAAAATGCAAAATACAAAGAGATAATCCTTGAAACTGAAAGAGAGAGGAGAAAAAATACATTTTGATCATGAGAATCAAACTAACCTCAGAGAACAATGAATAGTACAGATACCAATATCTTGCTATCAAAGTTCTGATAGAAAAGATGCTTTGGAGGCCATTGTCTAGAATTCTGTTCTCACCCAAATTGTCAGTCAACTGTGAGGCCATAGAGGATGTTTTCACATTTAAAGGACAAATCAAACTTATGTCCCACAGAATGCAAACTAGTACAGCCACTATCAAAAACTATGGGGATTCCTTAAAGAACTAAAAGTAGAACTACTATTTTATCCAGCAATCCCACTACTGGGTATCTACCCTGAGAAAAAGAAATCATTATTTGAAAAAGATACTTGCACATGCATACTTATAGCAGCACAATTCACAACTGCAAAATCCTGGAACCAACCCAAATGCCCATCAATCAACAAGTCAACGAATGGATAAAGAAACTGTGATATATATACATATATATATATATATTCCGCTATATATATATATATATTCTGCTATATATATATATTCCACTATATATATATATATTCCGCTATATATATATATATTCTGCTATATATATATATATATTCCGCTATATATATATATATTCCGCTACATATATATATATATATATATTCCGCTATATATATATATATATATATATATATATGGTGGAATCCTACGCAGCCATAAAAAGCAATGAATTAACAGCATTTGCAGTGACCTGGATGAGATTGGAGACTATTATTCTAAGTGAAGTAACTCAGGAATGGAAAACCAAACATCATATGTTCTCACTGATATATGGGAGCTAAGCTATGAGGACACAAAGGCATAAGAATAATGCAATGGACTTTGGGGACTTGTGGGGAAAAGTAGGAGAGAGGGCAAGGGATACAAGACTACAAGTATGGTCCAGTGTATACTGCACAGTTGATGACTACACTAAAATCTCACAAATCACCACTAAAGAACTTACTCATGTAACCAAATACCACCTGTACCCTAACAACTTATGGAAATAAAAATAAAAACTAGATAAACAAAACTTACCTGCCACAAGCTTGTTTATGCTCTATCAAAACTGGGGGGGCAGGGAAACAAAATAAAAGGCATGTGGCATGGGAATCACTGACTCTGACATACAGAGTGGGACAAATTATTTTAATAGCCTAGTGGGCATCATCTCCACATCACACAGGATGCTTTGATAGGGAAATTTCTAAGATATACGAAATCTAGATAAAACACTAAGTGTGATTAAGAGCTGAGGGAAAAAAGATACTGATGAAGGCACAAAAATAAAAACATAAGAAGAAAAGCAATCACAAACTCCAGTAAATATACCTATGTATAAAAGTCACAGTTCAAACAAGAAGCAGCATAAAAGATGTGGTGGGGAGATAAAATTGGAAGTGGTACAATTAAACAAAAATATTTGTCTTTGAAGCTAGGAATATTCACATATGAGTATCAAGGCATTGATAATAATTACCATATGCAAATAAAACTAGAAAATTTATAGTACTTGGATATAATTAAACATAATTATGTAGTAAAATTAATACAAAATTATATTGCTTCATAATTTTAGTCACCTTAAAGACACAGAATAGGAAAAATGATTTTCAAGGTCGAATGGAATGTAAATTAAAACCTTTGGCACTGCTAAAGTAAAATTTTTGTTGGTAGAGATTGGGGAGATTGAGATAAAAAAAATTGCCTCAGTAAAGGCTTGCGATTCTGTTGGCAGGTGATTGAGATAGACATAAAATTCTATGTGCTAATTTCAAAGTTGAAACCATAATCAATAGAAAAAAATAATGCATTAATAAAAATATCAGTCAAGAGGGAAGAAGAATAAGATAAAGTAAGCCTTATAACTCTTATGTTTCATTGGAAGGAGTCAATGCAAAGTTTCCCACGTTGATAAATGAAGGAAGGGAGAAAGCATACCAAATAAATATAGAACAATTTTAAGTAAGAGTTTGAGGATTTGGAATTAGAATGAGAAAAGGGCATTTTGCAGAGATAAACTTTTGTCCTCCTGGTTTATTCATTTTCATTTTGTTCATGGAAAAAATACAATTTTCAAATCCTCAAGCCTCAACATAGTACCACTCAGTTCTAATATATCAATGAAATGGGAACAGAAGTGAAGTGGACCTCTGGCCCATAAACAGTTCCCTAAGGTTTTCATAATTTTTTCTACCCATGTATGGCAGGCAGAACTATAAGGATGGCCACCAACCACAGGAGCTCAGTTAAGAACATCCACATCAGTCTTCAAATGAGAAAAAAAACAAAACAAAACAAAAAAAAAACACTTTATCTGTTAAATTGAAGGAATTTGAGGATTGTATTTTAAACCAACTGGACATAACTGCACTGATTAATTCAGAATACAAGGGGATTACATGTTTATCATAAACCCTTCCAAAAATGAATAATATCCTTTTTTATGTATCTCTCTGACATTTTTTTCCACAATGTCAATGAAAGCAAAAAGAAACCTTTGCTCTTATTTATTTAAAGGTTAAACTTGCAAGCAATGCAATTTTCTGAATATCATTACATGCATCATGTCAGGTCTCAGAACTGTATGATATTGAAAGCCTATAACATCAACTTCTTTGACAATCATACTGTCTATATTTTACAATAAACTAGGATATGTATGTATGTGTCTACATACTTAAACGTAACCAAAATTTTCTAAAACCATGAACTCAATAATATTGTGTACTTACAAGTGAGGGCTTTCTTTCACAAGCTCTAAGATAAGGCCATGTATTTAGCAAAAAATAGATTGAATTAAAGAGGCCCCCCCCCAAAATATGTATCTCAAATAATATTATTTCAAACACAAAGAACACCATATGGATACATTGAAGATCACACAAAAATTCATTTAAAAAACAAGTTAAACTGGATGAACTATAATGATACTGCAAAACTGTTCTATTAATGAAGAATGTGAAAGTCATGTTTTTAAATACATATTTTCAAAACCATAGATAGTTATTAATTATTCTGCAATGCACTCTGGCTTATTACTAAGCCTACTTCAATATCCATACAACATATTATCTTTTCACTAACCCATCCAAATTTAACCTAACTAAAAAGAAGTAATACTTGCTACTATTTTGTTTACAACATGTAAAAAAAATGAGTCTGCATTGGTTATATTTTTCTGCATACTAAACTCACACAAAACAGTGACTTAAAGTAACAATCATTTTATTTAGCCCATAATTCTGTGGCTCAGCCATGTGATCCTGCTGAGAAAGTTCGGCTGACCTCTGCTGGGTTTTCTCATGCGTCTATTGCCAGACTGTAAGGTTAGCCAAGAGAAAGGACTAGTAGACCCAAGGCAAGCAAGTTTTGTTGTCCTGCCAGGCTGCTTGACAGGCAGAGGAGGCAGCCTGGCTTACAGACTACAGCAGGGCTTTATAGGCCGAGGAACTGGGTCAGAATGTGGGGACTGAGTCAGGGCTACAGGTGTCCTAACCGCATCCTGGAGATGTTTGTTGCCAGCTTTGTTATGCAAGGTGGGTAGGTGTTCTGACCGCATCCTGGAACCGTCTGCCAGCTCAGCTGAAGTCTTTTGAACAAACAGTTACTGGAAGGGTCAGTGGGAGAGGGGGTAGGGGGCACAGGGTCTACTTCTAACCTTGGGGGAGCTGTTGGGGGGTGGTGACAAAGGACTGTATTGGAAGACTTATGGGAAAGGAGGAGAATAGTCTAGTTGGGTTGACCCTAACATTCCAGCCTTCTAACAGATAATAGAAAAGCAGTGTTGTTCTCATCAGTCTGCTTTAAGCTGAGAAGGGGCAGTGGTTAGTGGGAGAGGCTGTAAGGTAGGGGTTGGTTTTGGTTCTGGTTTAAAAATTGTCGGTCTTCTTGGAGTAACATCATGTCCTGTATGGTTCTCTGGGTGAAGGCTCGGATGCGATTTTGTAAAAACTGAGTGAATAGGCGCAAGAGGCAGAGCCCAAAGGCCAGGAGAAGGAGGATAGTTATAGCAGGGCCAAGGAGGGGAAGTAGCCAGGTGGCCCAAGAACTGAGACACCAAGGGGACCAAGGGGGCCAAGAGGGCCAGGCAGAGGAGCTGTTTTATTTTCTGAGCTTGGTCTTTGAGCTTCTTGACTGCATCTTGTACCAAACCTGATTGGTTGAGATAAAAACAGCACTGCTCATCTAAGAAAATGCAGAGACCTCCTTTTTCAGGGGTAAGTCAAGACCTCTGCAGTTTTGGAGGACTACTGCTGCTAATGATTCCAATTGTGATTGGAGGTTTGAGACGGCATTAGCTATGCCCTCTATATGTCCATAAGGTCTTTTGAGAGTGAGCGATAGTAGGTGAGGGAAGTGGATAGGCCTGCTATTCCAGTTCCTGTGGCAGTGGCAATTCCTAGTCTGGCAAGTAGGGATATGAGTTGTATGGCTTGACGATGTTGAACCGAGGCCTGAATTGGGGTAGGCAGGAATTGGTTTCCTGGGGCAATGTCAATTTTGGGACTAGGAAACACCAGAGTGCAGGTGACAGTCCAATTGGTGGGGATGTAGAGATAAGTTGAGGTGCCACATAGGAAGAATATGCCTGGGCTAGTTAAGCAGAATTGGTTATGTATGTTAAAAAGATTTGTAAGTTTGTTGTCTTTGTACATCCATGCCCCTAGGGTGCTAGCTAAGGCGGCTGTGGTGAGTGGTTGTAAGGGAGTGTATGGGTTTTTTTTTGGTAGTTTTTGCCTTTACTTTCCCAGTGGAAGGGGAAGCATTTTGTGTCTATTAAGAGCTGGTTAGAGGGGTTGTCTTTAAATGATGGGATGAGGAGGCATTCGTCTGTAGTAGGGGGGATGAGCTTCACAGGGGGATGGAGTCCAGGGTTGGAGGAACAAGCAGAGTAGTGTTTTTCATTACAGTATCCAGAGTTTATGTTCTGTAGGAGGGTGATGTTAACTTTGTGGGGGCTAGGGGAGCTGAAAAGCATAAGGTAACCCTGAAGATCTGGAGACTGGTATGGTCAACTGGGCCCTGGAGTCGTAGGGTAAAATTACAGTGGCTTGAAGGTAGGTGTCATAGGAGGTGTCCAGAGGGTGGGTGGCATTGAATACATAAAGGGGCTTGAAGAGTTAGAAAGGTGTTGGTGGTTATGGGACCTAGGATGGGCTTGGTGTGGTTAGCATAGGGGGCCAGATAATCGAAATAGGGATATAATAATAGAGCTGCTTGTCCTATTGCAGTGAGAGGCTTGTTTGAGCTAGAAAAGGAGTTAGAAAGGTCTATTAAGGCCTTTAAGTCTGGAAATTGGAGAGGGCCACCTAGTTCATAATGGGGGTGGAAGGTTACTTGGGTTAAAACCCAGTCCTGAGCTGAGGAAGGAATTGCGCTGTAAGCTGTAGTAGATAGGTAGAAACAGAGCCAGCAGTTGCTTGCTAGAGTAGGGTTAACTTCTTTTAATAGGAGTGTGTAAGATTGAGGGCTTTGTGAAGGTAGTTAGGTATTGGTGGAGGAAGGAGAGCTAGAGTGTGTGGGGGGCAGGAGGGGCAGTAGGAGTAAACAGGCAAAGGGTAAGGATAAAAGTGAAGAAATGAGTTTCATCTGGGGTAAAATTACAGAAGGTACCTTGGAAGGTGAGGTCAGTTATCTAGTCAAGGAATGCTGTGAGGGTGGGTTGTTCTAGGTAAAACCATGGAATGTCTTCTGTGAGGCAGTGAAGGAAGAGGGTGAAACGGCAAGACAGGCAAAGGCAGGACATTTAGGAGGGACAGTTACTTGTTAGTGGCTGTTATTCCTGCTATAAGGAGAATTATGAGGCAAAAGGCTATAGAAAATAAGATTTTCTGTTTGAAGTTCCACCCTGGGGGTGTTACAATATATATTCCTATAGCAAAGAGCAGAGTAAGTCAGTCAATTCCTGTAAGGGCAGCGCAGTAAATGATTTTCATTAATGAGGGTTCAGATATTTAACAGTGAAGGGTGGTAACTTATCTGTTAGGATTCATGGGTGAGAGGAGTGTGGGGTCTTCTGGGATGGGCGTAAGGTGGAGTCAGGTTGGCCCAAGGAGAGTGCTGGAGTGTTTGCAGGGAACAGCTGGTTGATTAGTCGGTGGTGGGTCAGTTGCAGGAGTCCTTTATAATCTGGAAAGATGGTACCAAGAGTTACGTCCTGAAAGTTTGGCTGCAGTGGGGGTAGTGAGAAGAAGTTGGAAAGGGCCTTCCTACTTTGGTTTAAGTCTCATTGGAGTGAGGGTTTTTAGGAAGACATACTCTCCTGGAAGGAGAGTTTGGTTGGCGGGGCCTTGGTGGGGTTTTGGGAGGGCCTGATCAGCTTCTTTGCAGAGGAGATGACAGATGAGGGAGAGCGTTGGGAGGTATTCTCCTAATTGAGAGTTAGGAAGAGGTCTGTTTTGTAAGAGGAAATTGCATTCATACATTAACTTGAATGGACTGAGGAAGGAGGGAGCTTTTGGACTGGCTCTGATGCCAGCCAGTGCTGTGGGTAAAAGGGAGATCTGTGGTTTTTTGACTTCAAGAGTGAGTTTGGTTACTGAGTCTTGAGAATCTCATTTGCCCTTCTGACTTTCCAGATGACTGGGACTGGTCTGGGATATGGAATTACCATGCCAAGGGACTGAGAGACTTGTTGGGTGATTTGGGAGATGAAGCTAGGGCCGTTGTCTGATTGTATGGAGCGAGGCAGCCCAAATTCTAGGGATGATTTCTGTTATGAGAATTTGAGAGACTTCTGCAGCTTTTTCTGAAGGGGTAGGAAATGCTTCTACCCAACCTGAAAAGGTGTCTATGAGGAGAAGAAGATATTTATTTTTTTTGACGGGAAGGATGTGGGTGAAGTCTACTTGCCAGTCCTCCCCTGGGAGTGTTCCTCTAAGCTGATGTATAATGATGAGGAGAGAGCAGAGGGCCCCTTGGGAGGAAGTAACAGATCATATATGATAGTTTGAGGTTATGTCTTTGAGTGAGGTGAATAGATGGGGAGAGGAGAAATAAGGGCGAAGGAGCAGGTACAGGGGGTGCGCACCGATATGGAAGGATTGGTGAAGAGATGTCACAATTTCCTTGGTTTGCTCTTGGGCGAGGACGAGCTTTTGATTTTTGATTATCCAGTCTCCTTGAAGGGAGGCCCCCTGCTGTAGTAGTGAAGGCTTTTGGGTGGGAGAGTACTTGGGTTGGACTGCTGGGGGAATGAGGAGGAGGCGGGCAGGGACAGAAGAAAGGGAGGCTTCTTTTGCTGCCTCATCAGCCTTTCTGTTCCCTCTTGAGATTTCATCTGATCCTGTTTGGTGTCCTCAACAGTGTATAACTCCTGCTTTAGTTGGAAGGTGTGCAGCCTGAAGGAGTTGGTAAATAAGGGGGCCGTTAGTGATGGGGGTTCCTTTGGCAGTAAGGAATCCTCTCTCTTGCCAGATGGTGGCATGGGAATGAAGAATGTGATAGGCATATTTGGAGTCTGGGTAAATGATGACTCGTTTGATTTGGAGAGGGTTAGGGCTCTGGAGAGAGCTATAAGTTCTGCTTTTTGGGAGGAGGTTTGTGGGGGGAGGAGCTCAGCCTTAATTACTTGGTTTAAGGTAACTACTGCATACACAGCAATTTTGGGACAGCCAGTGGCTCTGGAAGAGGAGCCATCTATGAATAGTTGGTCATCTGGATTAGTGAGAGGCTCGGAGGAGACGTTAGGGAAGTGTGGTTGCAGGTGGTCTACAATTTCAGTATAGGAGTGGGAGGGAAGCAAGGAAGATATTGGAATTAGAGAAGTGGGGTTAAGGGAACTTTTGGCAAGACAGAACTCAGGGTTGTCGAGAAATAGAGCATGAAGAATCTGGATGCGAGATGGGGAGAGAACGCTTAATATTTGGAAGGAAAGCAGGTCTTGTAGATTATACGGACTGTGGATGGTGGTGTCTTGACCAAATATTAGCTTTTTACTTTCTAAGGCCAGGGTGGCAGCTGCCACTAGAGCTCTGAAGCAGGTTGGCCATCCTAGGGCAGTAATGGTCTAGCTGTTTGGAAAGGTAGGCTATGGGGGCAAATGATGGAGGACTTCCTTTTGCTTGGCCAAGGACACCAAGGGCTATTCCTTGGTTTTCAGTTGTGTAGAGGGTGAAGGGCCAGGAAATATCAGGCAAAGATAGGACTGGAGCACTTATAAGGGCAGTTTTAAGTTTGTGAAAGCTAGGGCATATGTTGTGGGAGGGATTTAGGGGCTCATTTAGGGGACCTTTGGCTGCTTCATAGAGAGGGTGGGCTAAGAGAATGAAGTTGGGGATCTATATTCTGAAAAAGCCTGCTAGCCCTAGGAAGGAAAGAATTTCACTTTTTGAGGAAGGTGAAGATAGGTTGTCTATTAAGGCTGCTCGTGCCAGGGTCATGGCTCGGGACCCAGGGGAGAGTTGAACCCCTAGGTAGGTCATGGTAGGGGTAGAAAGCTGTGCTTTGGAGGTGGAGACCCTATAGCCTTTATCAGCAAGGAAATTGAGAAACGTGGCAGTGTGGGTTTGGGAGTTTTTTAGGGAGGGGCTACAGAGGAGGAGGTCATCTACGTATTGAAGAAGATGGCTAGGGGAAAGGTTTAAGGAGGCAAGGTCTTGGGCTAGGACTTGCCTGAAGAAATGAAGGCTATCCCTGAAGCCTTGAGGGAGAATAGTCCATGTGAGTTGTTGTGACTGGAAGGTGTCGGGGTCAGTCCAGGTGAAAGCAAAGAGGTTTTGGGAATCAGCGTGTAGGGGAATGGTGAAGAAGGCATCTTTTAGTTCAATTGCAGTGTAGTGGGTGGTGTTGGAGGAGATGAGAGAGAGAAGTGTATAGGGGTTAGGGACTATGGGATGAGTAGGGAGGACAGCCTGATTGATAACTTGGACGTCTTGAACAAGTTGTTATGAGCCGTCAGATTTTTTAACAGGGAGGATAAGGGATATAGAGAATGTATTGGTCTAAGAAGCCCATGTGAGCAGAAATGGTTTATGATGGGCTGGAGGCCCTTTTGGTTGATTAGGGAGATGGGATATTGGGGAATGTTGGGAAATTTGGAGGGGTCTTTTAATTGGATTTTGATGGGGTTATGGTGAGCAGCTATGGAAGGGGTGGCAGTATCCCACACTACTGGGTTAACAAGAGCAGCAAGAAGTGGGTACTGAGGAGAGGGGTCAGGGGCCGGACTAGCGGAAAGGAGCAGGAGGGACTCTGGTTGACGGAGGCAGGAAAAGATGATAGAAGCCTTAAATTTGGCTAAAAGATTGCAGCCTAGAATTGGGGTAGGGCAGCAAGGCATAAGGAAGGAGTGTGAAAAAATAGTATTAAACAGGGAACAAGTGAGGGATTCAGTGGCACGTGGACGTGAGATGAGTCTGTCAATCCCCATGACAGAGATCTGGAAGGGATGAGTGGGTCCTGAAAATTCAGGCAAAGCTGAGTAGGTAGCCTCAGTATGGAGATCGACTGACTTGCTCCTGGCAGAGGTACCCTGGGCTATGATGCAGTGATGACTGATGGGGCCGGGGGCCCTGGGGTCCGTCAGTCTTCAGTGGCCAGGCCAAGGAGCTGCGGGAGGGAGTGTGAGTGATTCTTCACTCTTTGCTTTGCCAGGACTTGGAGGAGCCAACCTGTTAGTCTACTTGTTAAGAGGACGATCAGACTTCCAGTGGCCAGTGTGTTGGCAGGCTGGGCAAGGAGTTTTTGGCACTCGTGGGGTACGACATGCCCACGCCCGATGGCCCTCTTTGCTGCACTTAAAATAAGGCCTGGGGCAATACTGCTATCGGGTCTTTTGTGCCCTTGGGTGCTATGGCCAGGTTGGCTGATAGTTGCTGCAAGAAGCTGGTATTTAGCACGATCTCTTTGGGCTTTATCTAATTTATTTTAGTCATCCCTGTTATTGAAGACTTTGAAAGCCAGGTTAAGGAGGTCTTATTGTGGGGTTTGAGGGCCGTCTTCCACCTTTTTTAGTTTGCACTGTATGTCAGGAGCAGATTGAGGGAAATGGGTATTAAGAACAATATTTCCTTCCCAGGAGGTGGGGTCAATGCGGGTGTATTTTTGGGGGGCCTCTGTAAGGTGGGAGAGAAATTTGGCAGGGTTTTCACTGGCTCTTTAGGAAATTCATTTGAGTTTTTCAAAATTTATGGCCTTATGGGCAGCTTTGCTACAGCCTACGATGAGGCAAGTGATCATATAATTACGAGATGCCCTGCCGGGGCTCATGGGTTGGTATTCCCAGGGGGGTTCCTCCCTGGGAACTGCAGTGGCTCCTACAGGGTTAGTAGGGTCTTGCCGATGAAGATTGTTGGCATGAGCCTGAGCTACGAACCACACTCTTTCCTTATCTTCCAGGTGGAGAGTAGAAGAGAGGATAATATAAAGATCACGCCAAGTGAGTTTGTAAGATTGGGTAAGGTATTTGAACTCCTTAATATAAGTGTCGGGATCAGAGAAAAAGGACTCCAGATGTTTTTCAATTTGGAAATGGTCAGAGAGGGAGAAGGGAACATGGAAATGCAAATGATCCCTTCAGTCCCAGCCACCTCTCAAAGGGTAAGTATGGGAGCTGGTTGTTGGGCATGCTGAGTTCATGAGTGGGTATCAGGTGGGGATGGGGAGGAATCAGAATCAGAAGCTGGGTGGCTGGAGATAGTGGGAGAAAGAGATAAGGCAGGATCGGGAGCATATGGTGGAGGATCGTGATGCTCTGGCAGAAGATTATGATGTTGTTGGGGAGGAGGAAAGCGGGCAGAGTCAAAGGAGGAGGAATCGTCAGAAGGAGTGGTGAGGTGGGTGGCTGAGGATGGGTCAGGCTTGGAGCAGGGAAGGAGGGTCTGGAAGGCAGAACAAGACTGACAGAGAGAGGGATGGCTATGGAGGGAAAAAAAGCTTGAATATAAAGGATCTCCGACCACTTTCCATTGTGATGGCAGAAGTTGTCTAGGTCCCTGAGGATGTTAGAATCAAAAGTGTCATTTTCAGGCCATTGGGAGCCATTGTCCAGTTTATATTGAGACCAGGCCATGTTACAATATAATATGAGCCATTTTGGCCAAATTTTGGAATGGAGGCCAAAGGCGTTAAAGTTGTGGAAGAGACATCCGAGGAAGGATGTCTTTGAGGGAGTGGACTGAGAGGCTCCCATGGTGGAATGAGTGAGGGAGGGGTGGAGACAGGAGACTTGGCCGAAGACTAGGATGGTGGAAGAAGGCATCCCCCGTGCCATGGTTCAAGTTGGAGAGGAGTGATAATCACCCGTCCAGACATCCCTGAAAGGGAGATATTGAGGGCCTGCAGGCAGGAAAGAGGAAACCTTTGGCCCAGTACTGGGTCTTTCGAGAAAGGAAGAGTGGACAAGGGTTCCAGACAGAAGGCAGAAGTCTCCTTTACTCATCCCTGAGGCGGCCCTGGTGTTGGATGTGTTTGTGAGCAATGGAGTGGAGTAGGAAATACTCTGGGTCTCTGGCAGGTTCTGGAAGGGGGAGTTCGGCTGGTGGAAGAGGTGGGGAGGGAAGGAGAAAGGGAGAAAGGGAGGCTGAACTCTACCACCTTCCCAGGTTTTGGCACCAAAATTTAAGGTTAGCTGAGAGAAAGGATGAGTAGACCCTAAGTCAGGTGAGCAAGTTTTATTGTCCTGCCAGGCTGCTCCTTGACAGGCAGAGGAGGCAGCCTGGCTTACAGACTATAGCAGGGCTTTATAGGGCGAGGAACTGGGTCAGGGTGTGGGGACTGAGTCTGGGTTACAGGTGTCCTAACCACATCCTGGAGATGTTTTTTGCCAGCTTCGTTATGCAAGGTGGGCAGGTTTTCTGACAGCATCCTTGAAGCATCTGCCAGTTCAGCTGAAATCTTTTGAACAAACAGTTACTGGAAGGGTCATTGGAAGGGGGGTCTTATTCTAGCCTCGGGAGAGCTGTGTGGGGGTCACAAATGACTGTATTGGAAGACTTATGGGAAAGGAGGGGAACAGTCTAGTTGGCTTGACCCTAACAGAGACGATGGGTCATCTGGCTGCTAAATGTTATAGGATGGTCTCACTCAAATTTCCATCAGTTAATAGCCTGATAGAATAAGAGCATATGCTGAGCCAAAGTGTTTCTGCTCTTCATGATTCCTTCTAATTAAGTAGGTTAATATGAGCTTCTTCCTGTAGTATTCCATGGCAGGCTCAAGATTCCAAAGGGCAGTGAAAAAGCATGTGTTAATGTACAAATATTTTCAAGTCTATGTTTGCATCACATTTATAATGCCTCGTGGCCAAAACAAGCCTCATCACCCACCTAGAGTCAAGGATAGACAACACCTCTACTTGAGAGAATACACAATATGCAGTGGCATAGTCAAGCAAGGTTGTTTTTTTTAATTTGCTGTCATTTTACAATCTACCACAAATTGCATCTTGCAAAAAACTAAGTGCTAGATGTTTATATACACCATGTATATGTATGTATTTAGGTACATCTTGGAAATATACGTCCTTGTATACAAATGTATGTATTTATATATATATATATATATATATATATATATATATATATATATATATATATATTCATAAGCTATAAGTTTTTTAGCATTAATTCATAACACTATAGAGTCCTCTCTTTCAGATTGCTCTCATGGATCTTCAGCCAAGGCTAGAAATCAAACCATTCTAGGATTCACCTGGAAGTGCTGGGAAAATTGTACTGAATTTGCTATTCCAGGGATAGCTCTGTCTTAGTCTGTTCTCACGCTGCTACTAAAGACATACTTTCCTTATAAAGGAAAGAGGTTTAATTAACTCACAGTTCCACATGGCTGTGAGGCCTCACAACCATGGCAGAAAGCAAAGAAGGAACAAAGTCATGGCGGCAGGCAAGAGAGCTTGTGCAGGGGAACTTCCCTTTGTAAAACCATAAGATCTCCTGAGACTTATTCACTACCATGAGAACAGTATGGGGGAAACTGTCCCCATGATTCAATCATCTCTACCTGTCTGCACCCTTGACACATGGGGATTACTACAATTCAAGGTGAGATTTGGGTGGGGACACAGTAAAACCATATCAGCTCTTTACTCATTCCATGACTATCTATTATAGTTATCATTTGTAAGCAGTATCAGAGACACTAGGTATTCAGTGACAACAGAAAAGAAATCTTTGTGACCTCATTGAGATAATCTTTTTAACATGGAAAAGAATGTAAAGTTGCAAACAATTGAATTGCAAAGGAATTTTTCAGATTTTGCTGGGAAGATTTTTGGCTTAGTATATCTGAAAATACCCACATTTTCAATTTATTTTAAGATATAAAATTTGTAGGTACTACTTTTGTGATATTTGACGCCAGATACTTCCTTATGGCAAGATCTTTTCCTCTGTACCCCTAGTCCTTTGCTAAAGAGGGGAATACAAGTTTCTGTATTACCAGCCTATAGTACTTGCGGGCCAATGAGAAGTAAAATGCATTAAGTAGTTTATAATCCTGCAGTACCCCTTAAGGTTTCTTTCTTCTATTATAATATTATGACACAAATGTCTGGTAGTAAATAGATGTGCAAATATAGTGAAATTATTCTTGTTCTCTAAACTATCTTATAATAATTATATTTACATATCTTGTTCTTTCTGTGTTGGTCAGATAGTTGAAATGCATAGTTGTTCTGAAAAAGGGCCTATAAATTAGGGAACTTTGAACAAAGATGACATCAGTATTTTTTTTTATATGATAGCAATTTTAGTGGTTCATTTCTGAAGAACTTAATTTGTTTAGCTTAAAAACACAAGATACTTCACTTAAAATATTTGTGAAAATTAAGAGCATCATTAAAATAAGCATACTCTGTTGTTTTTGTAAATATCAAACATAAATATGAAACATGGCAGCTCTATTTATAATTACAAAACTTGGAAGCAACCATATTGTTTTTCAATAGGTGAGTGGATAAACAAACTTTGATAAATCATACAATATAATATTATTTAGTGATAAAAAGAAATGAACCAATAAACCACAAAAAGACATGGAAGAAAATTAAATGTATATTACAAGGTGAAAGAAATTAGTCTAAAAAGGCTAAGTACAGTATGATTCTCAAATATATGACATTATGGTAAATGCAAAAGATAGTAAAAAGATCAGACGTTTCCAGGGGCTTTGTGAAGAGGGTATGAAAGGTGAGAGATGGAACCCTGAGCATTTTCAGGGCAATAAAACTATTCTATATGATGCTGTACAGATGGATTTATAACATTATACATTTGTCACAGCTGTAGAATGTACAACTTAAGAGTGAACACTAATATAAACTATGGATTTTCCTTGATAAACTTGTAATAATACTGGCTCCTGAAGTGCAAAAAATGTACCATACTAATGCAAGATCTTGATAATAGGGGAAACTCTGTATATGTGTGCATATGTATGTGCATTGGGAGGAGAATGTATATGGAAACTGTAACCTTTGCTCAGTTTTTTTTGAAACTTAAAACTAGTTTAAAAGAATAAAGTGTACTTTATTATTTATTTATTTATTTATTTATTTATTTATTTATTTATTTTGAGATGGAGTCTTGCTCTTTCACCCAGGCTGGAGTGCAGTGGTGCTATCTCAGCTCACTGCAAGCTCCACCTCCTGGGTTCATGCCATTCTCCTGCCTCAGCCTCCCAAGTAGCTGGGACTACAGGCGCCTGCCGCCATGCCCGGCTAATTTTTTGTATTTTCAGTAGAGACGGAGTTTCACTGTTTTAACCAGGATGGTCTCAATCTCCTGACCTTGTGATACGCCCGCCTCAGCCTCCCAAAGTGCTGGGCTTACAGGCGTGAGCCACCGTGCCCGGCCAAGAATAAAGTATATTTGTAAAAATAAAAATTTATGTAACAATCAACTGGCAAAGTAAAATTAACATGCAAAGAAACTAATACAAAAGAAAAGTGTAATCAGAGGTTAGAAACTCTTATGTTACATGGGAAATGCAATGGTTTCTGTTTTTCTTCATATTGTGCAGGTTCATATTTATTTTGCACCTCTATTAGAAAAGTACCATTCTTAATAACAGGATTAAAACATAATTCTTTCACCTTGGAGCACAAAATATTACATCACAGGGATTAATTCAAGGTGTTAGATACTCAAAACTGCTGTTACCATAGTATTTCTAATAGTTACTCAGCTGGTACTACTATCAACAAGGATGATGATGACAGTGATAATGATAACATTAATATTGATTTAGCTGTTAGGGAGAAGTTAGTTTATTGGTCCGTTTTCATGACTAATCTTATTTTATTCTAACAATTCTGTGGTGCCAATCTTTACAGGAGAAAAAAAAGAGAAAAGAATGGAGTCTTTAAAATATACGGCAGTTTGCTCAACGGATTTGGTGGATGGTCTCTCCAATTACAAAATTCAATTTCACATACTTTGAGACAAGAAACATCTTTTTGTTGATATAATTTATTTAAGAGATTATGCCATTTAAAAGTTTGTGTTTATATATATGAACAGACATTGAAAAACGTACCCTGAGCTTAGAATGAGAAATTTTAATTGATGAGATAATAATATAATATCCTCATTAAACATAGATAAAAATATCAGCGGAACATGAAAAGATGTCTTAAAAATCTGCAAATGTCTTGGCCATATTAGATTAAGAATTTTAATACATCCTTTGTAAGGAAGTATTTTTTAGCTTACATTATATTCTATAGATCTCATTACATCACTTAAAATATTGGTTTATAGTTCTTTTGCTTTTAAAGGAATATAAATACATATCTATATTTTATGAAATTATTAATTTAAATATATACATATATCATGATGAATGTGTGATACGGTAATAGTACATATTGTTTTCTATAATGTTGCTTTATATGTGAGATGTTAACACTTCTCTTTTCACAATTATCTACCTGCCATATTTGCAAAAATGGCTGCCCAATATTGCAACTAAAGCATGAAAAATATTATTGTCACTTTTTAAAAAAAATAGGGATCCTGTCTTATACAATTTCAACCCATCCTCCTTCAATTATATTTTTAATCTCTAGAAAGTTTCAAGAGAGATAGTATTAGCTCACAGGGAAACTAAATATACTAATAATGTTAGAATTGTCAAATTTTTTAAACATTGTACATTCTGTAGCTGTGTCTGCTTCAAAATTATAGCTGCACGTGGTAAATGTAAAGGAAAATACAGTATTAGAGCATTTCCCAGTACTGTCTAAGATATATCATTTAAATGGGGTTTTTGTTCTGTAAATTGAATCAAAGCATTTACAAAATAGTGTTTTCATACTCGTATTGATGGATGTGAATGAATTCTCTATCATTGTTGCTATTGTACCACAGTAGAGAAATCCAAACAGACAGGTACAATTTTCTCTAAGAACAAGATCAATTTCACTTTTTGGTAGTTTCTAAATTGTGTTTGTCAATTGTTAGTTGAAATTATGGAGATGGATGATCACTGTTCTTGACCTTTCATTATTCTAAGGCCATAGTGTGAAGGAGCAGGTTTCTGCTGTATAGTTCTCTTGCTTTGTTTCAATTTACAGGATATAAGAGTTATTTTTCAAAGAGCACAGTGAAATAACTGTCTATGAAGGCTTCTGGAACTCCCACACTTACAATTTAGATATTATTTCTAACTTCTAGATTTTTACAAGTCTTTTCATACTATTATTTTTATTTAGATATAAGTTCATTTTAATTACATTACATAGACAGATTGCTTGATATAATTCCACCTGGTCATTTCACTTATGACACTTATATTGAATTTGTTTAATTAAATAAGATTTTCTTTGTACTCAATATCCTACAAAGTATTTCAATCTTAGATTTTTAGCAGCAATAATACTTCCAAATAACTTAAATCTAAAAATTATTAACTTAATTGTTATACAGATTTTTTTACATCAGAAATTATTGCAAAAATTAGTTAATGGTGATCCTGAAACAATGCTGTACACGTTCATAAACAAGTTTAATTTGGGCTGACCTTGCAGCCATGGAACGTATTTGTATTGTAATCTATATTGCTGAAATAAGTTCAATATGAATGCGCTGGTATCACCCAGTCGCCTATAGCCATGAGGATAAAAATATAAATAAACCACTAGTTATTCAAACATTTCAGACTCATGAACTTACATTTAATTTTTGAGGGACACATATCACCATTCCTTCTGCCCTTGCGCAGCCCACACACACACACACATACACACTGAAAGGATACTTTGAAGAGAAGCATTCTATACCCTTTGGTGAACAATTCATACTCATAACTCAGTTCCTACAGAAACTGATATATTCACAATGCCAGAAGTTCCCACTTACATTGCAAAGGCAGACAAGCTGACCTATTATTTTAAGGTTTGAGGGTTGTTGCAGAAGGACTCTATTTTCTTAAAAGTATTTTCCTTTTATATTGAAATCATTCAGTTATTTCTTGGATTAGTTATCCTTTTTCTAAGAACGTCTATAAATTTAAGATACCCCCAGGTAGTGTTCTTATTTGTTTCCATCCATTTTTATTTAGGGTACAGAATTATTATCATACACTTCAAAAATTATCCAGAAATAAGAGTTCCATGTCCTGAAGCATCTAGCGTTAAGACAATTTTTGGATATAAGAAAGTACCATCTAGTCATCACCTCATAACACCCACTAATGACAATAGAGACCATTACAAACTTTGCAAAAACTTTTCTAATAAAAAGTAGTGCTGTTAGTTGAGATTTAAACTTTCTTAGCTAAAGGTCTGTTTTTTATAACATCATTATTTTTAAATGTCTACATTTATGTTGTAGTTTTGTATCACTACATTGTTGACCATACCTTAAGTCTTAAATGGTATTTATCGTGGTTCTCAGTGTTAGCAAATAGACAAGGATGAAAAACTTCCTCCAAAATAATAGAAGAGAAAACAATGATTTTATCTAGATAGATTCCAAACTCAGAGCACCTGTGTTCTTCTTACCCATTCAGTTCATTACAGCTCCTCTTTTTTTATGTGCTGTGAAAAGCTAATACAATTTAGTTAGTTTTTGGCTCTGGTTATTTATAGATCATCATTTCATGCAAATTCTTCTGCGACAACAATCATTATCATTCTCACCATAAACTTTTTAAAAGATCATGTGATTTGTGCTGCTTTGCCCTCTACAGAGTAGATTATTGGAGGACAGGATCTGGTTTGCTTTGTTATCATCTCTGTTTCTTTTTTAATAATCAGCAATGCTACCCCAGTTATCTCTCACATAATAAGAATTTAATTAATACGTCCAAGAAATGGGAGCACTCTTGAAAAGTTTCATTCCGCATTTGTTTTCAATAGACCTACATCTCAACTGTTACAGAGGCTGTTTTCTAATTGTCAAAATCACTCCCCAATAAATTTCTAAGAAACAAAAGCATTTTACTTCTAATTCAGTAAAGAACTGACTAAAGAAAATTGTTAATTCAATTTATTTGTTATTATATTTTTACAAATCTAATATATGCTAAAAATGAATCTATTATGTTTTAGTCTTTTCAATTTATGCTTCTAGTTTTTACTTATGTGCAAGCTTTTCTATTTACGTTTGTGTTCTTATTTATGTATGTGCATAATAGAAAGCAAAATGTATTGTACGCTTTCAATGATATTTATGTTACCTTTACACTAACTAGCTATTGAAAAAATGAAGAAAGAAATGCCTTAAAATGTAGCAAAGGGAAATGGAGAAAATGTGAAAAAGGATAAACAAAGTGGAAAGCTATGTACTTTGCTTGGGAGGCTCATATAGACATATAATATATAACCTCACAGCACCTGACAAGCATAGTTGACCATTTTTACCGAAATGTCTCTAATTATTAACAAACTGGTTTTTCAGTTAGAAAAGAATGCTTACCATCAAAACCAAAACTATATATGTATTAAGTAGTAGAATACTCTACAATGAACAAAAGATTATATTTAGTATTCTTCCACAAGTTTATTTCTTTTTTTATACAAGTAATATTAGAAACTTTAAACAAGTTTTGTTTGGGCATTTATATTTACTTTAGACATACTAAGGTAAAAGGAAAAACAATTATAAATTATATCTTAATATATTTCTTTCATTTAAAAAAATCTTAAATGAAGTTTTTGAGCATGGAGATAATTTTGTTCTAAATTGTACACAAATGCTTTAGGGTAGGGTCCCCTCTACCTTGTTGGCATTCTCAGGAGAATGCAATGCTGTGGGGATCTCTAGGAACAAAACAAGCTTCCTGAGGACTATACCATTCCATAGGACTTTCCCAGTAGAGTAAAACAATATCATTCTATGCTTGCAAACTAGCTCACCACATCAAGGAAAATAAAATATGAAAAGAATACCATGTCTTAAATGTAACTGGAAAACACCTACAACTGTCTGCCAAAAGTTATAAAGGGCCACCAGGTGCAATGAATGTTAGTGTTGGTTGAGGAAGGAAGCTAGGCTCTCATGATTACCAAAAGTCTGTCATGCTCATCCAAAAGAGCCAAACCAAATCCTCCTGAAATTGAAGAGTTAAGATCTGGGTTAAAGGAGAAACAGAGATAATTTTTTAATGTATTTCTTGAAGTAAACTGATATAAAATGATGAAGGAAAATAAGTCCAATTAGCCATGACCATTAAAGCTGGTGGTTCTGACGAGTGAAAGATATTCTATAAATCAATTCACAAAAGAACCTAATTGGCAATATTTTCCAATTAAAGCAAATGATCTGCTTTTGTTGACTGGAGACACAGGGAATAATATATAAAGATGATGTATAAGAAACATGAAGGTAGGCCAGGCACGGTGGCTCATGCCTGTGATCCCAGCACTTTCGGAGGCTGAGGCGGGTGGAACACAAGGTCAGGAGATTGAGACCAACCTGGCTAACACAGTGAAACCCCGTCTCTACTAAAAATAAAAAAAATTAGCTGGGCGTCGTGGCGGGAGCCTGTAGTCCCAGCTACTCCGAAGGCTGAGACAGGAGAATGGCGTGAACCCGGAAGGCGGAGCTTGCAGTGAGCCCAGATCTTGCCATTGCACTCCAGCCTGGGAAACAGAGCGAGACTCCATCTCAAAAAAAAAAAAAAAAAAAAAAAAAAAAAAAAAAAAAAAAAGAAAGAAAGAAACATGAAGGTAAAGCTAATAGAAATAAAAACTATTTCCTGGTTAAAGTGAGTACATCCCTAATTCCCACTTAGGGAGAAAATGTCAGAACAAAGTAAAATTAAAAAAAAAAAAAAAGGGGAATACAGAAAATGTTCAAACAGGCAGAATAAAAAGGATGGAGGGATGGAGGTGGGACACACAAAGATTATTCTGTGGCTCATGTCAGTAATCCCAGCACTCTGGGAGACCAAGGTGGGAGGATCACTTGAGGTCAGGAGTTCGAGACCAGCCTGGCCAACATGTTGAAACTACGTCTCTACTAAAAATACAAAAATTAGACTGGTATGGTGGAATGTGACTGTAATCCCAGGTACTCAGGAAGCTGAGGCAAGAGAACCGCTTAAACCCAGGAGCCGGAAGTTGTAGTGAGCCAATATCACCCCACTGAACTCCACCCTGGGCAACAGAGCAAGACTCCCTCTCAAAAACAAACAAACAAACAAAATTGTAATACAATTGAGTCCATCTTTTTCCTTTAGGTAAAAGAGACAGCAGATAAAAAGAGTATAGTATCTGGAGGTTGTTGAGGAAACAATTGGCAATCTAGAGTTTGATGCTCAAGCAAGATATCATTCAAGATTGATTCAAAATAAAGTTATTTTCAGACTTACAACAAACATTTAATTATTTATATTTATATTATATAAAATGGACTTCCTAAAGTATAAACTTGAGTTCACAATGATGTTGTGTTTGGAAGCAACACTATGGGTAAAAGAAAAACCTGTTGATACGTTTCAATAATATAGACCCTGAAAAACACTAACAGTAGCATTTAGCTTATTTAAAGTCAAACAGAAACAGAAGAACCATAAATTCACAACAGGAAGGTTTCAGCTATTAAAGAAAAATTTACAACAAATGCACTTAGAATCACTATCTAAGGAGTCAGTAAAGGAAGAGAGACAGAGACAGAAGACACACACAGATTTAGAAAGAGGCAGAAAAAGAGAGATAGTAATTTTACTCTCCAAAAGCTATAATTAAAAAGTCTTCAATTGTCAAGACAATCCTCCCTCTCTTCATCAGTTAAGAAGATGTAACAAGTACATTTCAAAAATTACTTTGAACAGACAAACCCTATCCCATACGAGCTATTAACAATCATAAGAAGAAAGCAGCACAAAACAATTTTAACTTTATATTGAACTTTAACATACATGCAGAAACATTTACATGTCACAATTAATAAATAGCATAAGCTGAGTAGAATTTATATTTACCTGTGACCACCTCTCTTATTTGCCTTAAATGTGAATGATTTCTCTCCATAAATAAAATACCGGGGAAAAAATAAATAAATAAAAATGTGCACACCACAGGGGAATGAAAAAGCACCAAGAGACCTCTGCCATCCAAATCCCATAAGAGGCAGTGAACTTGCTCACACACCAAACACATTGGTGCTACAACCAGCATCTGAGAAAGCCATCGTATGAAGACTCTATATCCAAGGAATTCATACAGTCTTCATCCCTGAAAGCACCAAGAGCCAAATTAGGCTACAATAAACTATCAATATTAAAGTTATATTCTTAAGGGGGAAAATTTAAAAAAAACACAGTCATATCAAAAATAAATTCAGGAATAATTAGAAAAAAATAGTATACTCAAATGAGAAGAAACCAGAAAAATAATTCTGGTAATATGAGAGAGTTCTATAACACATCTAAAAGATCATCCTAACCCTCCAGCAGTGGATTCAAACCAAGATAAAATCTTTGAAATACCAGATAAAGAACTTAAAAAGGTGGATTAAACTACTCAAGGAGACACCAGAGAAAGGTGAAAAAACATACAGAATTTAAAAACAATTCAGAATGTGTGTAAAAAATTTCTAAAGAGAGATATTTTAAAGAAAATCCAATCAGAACTTCTAGAAATACAATAGACACTTAGGGAATAACAATATGCAGTGGATTTTTTTTATTTAACATTAATTTTAAGTTCTGGGTACATGTGCAGGATGTGCAGGTTTGTTACATAGGCAAACGTGCGCCATGGTGATTTGCTGCGCAGATCAACCTATCACCCAGGTATTAAGTCCATCATCAATTAGTTATTCTTCCTGATACTCTCCCTTGTCCCACCCCCTCCAACAGGCCCCAAAGTGTTTTGTTCCCCTTACATGTGTCCATGTGTTCTCAACCTTCAGTTCCCACTTATAAGTGAGAACATGCATTATTTTATTTTCTGTCCCTGTTAGTTTGCTGAAGAAAATGGCTTCCAGTTCCATCCATGTCCCTGCAAAAGACATAATTTATTCCTTTTTATGGCTGCATAGTAGTCCATGGTGTATATGTACCACATTTTCTTTATCCAGTCTATCACTGAGGGGCATTTGAGCTGATTCCATGTCTTTGATGTTTGTGAATAGTGCTGCAGCAAACATATGTGTGCCTATATCTTTATAAAAATTATATTTATTTGGGTATACACCCAGTAATTAGATTGCTGGATCAAATGGTATTTCTGATTCTAGATCTTTGAGAAATTGCCACATTGTCTTCCACAATTGTTGAACTAATTTATATTCCCACCAACAGTGTAAAAGCATTCCTTTTTCCTCTGCAATCTCACCAGCATCTGTTCTTTCTTTACTTTTTAAAATTGCATTCTGACTAGCGTGTGACGCTATCTCATTGTGGTTTAGATTTGCATTTCTCTAATGATAGTGATGTTAAGCTGTTTTTCATGTTTCTTGGCTGCATAAATGTCTTCTTTTGAGAAGTATCTGTTCATGTCTTTTGCCCACATTTAATGGAGTTGTCTTATTCTTGTAAATTTGTCTCTTATGGGATTGGGATGGCAGAGGTCTCTTGAAGGTT
This sequence comes from Homo sapiens, assembly GCF_000001405.40. Lineage (NCBI taxonomy): Eukaryota > Metazoa > Chordata > Mammalia > Primates > Hominidae > Homo > Homo sapiens. Next base: position 86,776,936 of record NC_000013.11, read on the forward strand.
TTTCATTCCCTTGCAGTGTGCACATTTTTATTTATTTATTTTTCCACAGTATTTTATTTACTGAGATAAATCCTTCACACTTCAGGCAAATAAGGGAGGTGGCCACAGGTACAAACTGGCTGTGGCTAAAGCACGTTGTTAAATGCAGTACTCAAATTCTTGTAAATATCCTTGTATACTCTGGATGTTAGAACTTTGTTAGATAGATTGCAAAAATTTTCTCTCATTCTGTAGATTGTGTGTTCACGCTGATGACAGTTTCATTTGCTGTGCAGAAACTCTTTAATTTGATTAGATTCTATTTGTTAATTTTTGCTTGTGTTGTTACTGCTTTTGGTGTTTTCATCATGAAATCTTTGCCAATGCCTATGTCCTGAATAGGATTGCCTAGATTTGCTTCTAGGGTTTTTATAGTTTTGGGTTTTACATTTAAGTTTTTAATCCATCTTGAGTTAATTTTTGTATAAGGTGTAAGGATGGAGCTCAGTTTCAATTTTCTCCATATGGCTAGCCAGTTCTCCTAGCATCATTTATTAAACAGGGAATCCTTTCCCCGTTGCTTTTCTCAGGTTTGTCAAAGATCAGATGGTTTTACACATGAGGTTTTACATGTGAGGTCTAATTTCTGAGTTCTCTATTCTGTTCCATTGGTCTGTGTGTCTGTTTTTGTATCAGTACCATGCTGTTTGGTTACTGTCACCTTGTAGTGTAGTTTGAGTAGCATGATGCCTCCAAACTTAATCATTTTACTTAGGTTTGTCTTCACTATACAGGCTCTTTCATGAATTTTAAATTAGTTTCTTCTAATTATGTGAAGAATGTTAATGGTAGTTTTTAGGAATAGCACTGAATCTATAAATTATTTTGGGCAGTATGGACATTTTAACTTTATTGATTTTTCTTATCCATGAGCATGAAATGTTCTTCCATTTGTTTCCTCTGTGACTTCCTTGAGCAGCGGTTTGTAGTTCTCCTTGAAGAGGTCCTTCACTTCTCTTGTTAGCTGCATTCACAGGTATTTTATTCTCTTAGTAGCAACTGTGAATGAGAGTTTGTTTACAATTTGGCTCTCTGCATGCCTGTTGTTGGTGTATAGGAATGCTAGTTATTTCTTCACATTGATTTTGAATCCTGAGACTTTTCTGAAGTTGCTTTTCAGCTTAAGAAGCTTTTGGGCTGAGACTATGGGGTTTCTACACATAGGATTATGTCATCTGCAAACAAAGATAATTTGACGTTTAATTTTATTGAAGGCCTTTTCTGTGCCTATTGAGATAATCATGCAGTTTTTGTCTTTATTTCTGTTTATGTGACTAATTACATTTATTGATTTGCAGATGTTGAACCAACTTTGCATCCCAGGGATGAAGCCAACTTGATTATGGTGGATAAGCTTTTCATTATGCTGCTGGATTCGGTTTGCCAATATTTTATTGAGGATGTTTGCATTGATGTTCAGCAGGGATATTGGCCTTAAGTTTTATTTTCATGTTGTATCTCTGCCAGGTTTTTGTATCAGGATGATGCTGGCCTCACAAAGTGAGATAGAGAGGAGTCCCTCCATTTTAATTGTTTGGAATAGTTTTAGTAGAAATGATACCAGCTCCTCTTTGTTCTTCTGGTAGAATTGTGCTGTAAATTCATCTGGCCCTGGGCTTTTTTTAGTTGGTAGGCTATTTATTAGTGCCTCAATTTCAGAACTCATTATTGGTCTATATGAGGATTCAATTTCTTCCTGGTTCAGTCTTGGGAGGGTGTATGAGTTTGGGAATTTATCTGTTTATTCTAGGTTTTCAAGTTTATGTGCATAGAGGTGTTTACTATATTATTTGATGGTTTTTGTCTTTTTGTGGGGTCATTGGTGAAATACCACTTATCATTTCTTATTGTGTCTATTTGATTTTTTTCTCTTTTCTTATTTACTAGTCTAGCTAGTGGTCTATTTAATTTATTGTATCTAAAAAAAACAAGCTCCTGGATTCATTAATTTTAAAGGGTTTTTCGTGTCTCTCTCTCCTTCAGTTCCACTTTGATCTTGGTTATTTCTTGTCTTCTGCTAGTTTTGGGGGAGGTTTGCTCTTGATTGTCTGGTTTAGTTATGATTTTAGGTTGTCACTTTGTGACCCTTCTAGTTCTTGATGTGAGCATTTAGTGCTATACATTTTCCTCTTAACGCTGTTTTAGCTCTGTCCCAGATGTTTTGTTATGTTGTCTCTTTGTTCTTATTAGTTTCAAATAACTTCTTGATTTCTGCCTTAATTTTATTATTTACTTAGAAGTCATTCAGGAGCAGGTTGTTCCATTTCCATGTAATTGTGTGGTTTTGAGTTAGTTTTTTAATCTTGAGTTCTAATTTGATTGTGCTGTGATCTGACAGACTGTTTATTATTATTTCAGTTCTTTTGAATTTGCTGAGAAGTGTTTTACTTCCCATTTGTGATCAATTTTAGAGTAAGTGCCATGTGATAATGACAAGAATGCACACTCTGTTGTTCTTGAGTGGAGAGTTTTATAGGTATCTCTCAGGTCCCCTTGAGCCAGAGCTGAGTTCAGGTGCTGAATATCTTTATTTTCTGTCTCTGTGATCTGTCTAACATTGTCAGTGGAGTGTTAATACATCCGATTATTATTGTGTGGGAGTCTACATATATATATATATACATATATATATATACACATATACATATATATATACACACACACACACATATATATATATACCCAATAAAGGAACACCCAGACTCATGAAGCAAGTTCTTAGAGATGTACAAAGAGATTTATATATATATATTTATATATATATTTATACATATATTTATATATATATATTTATATATTTATACATATATTTATATATATATATTTATATATTATATATTTATATATATTATATTATATATATTTATATATATTATATATTTATATATATAATATATTTATATATATATATTATATATATAAATATATTATATATATAAATATATTATATATATATTTATATATATAATATATATATATAATATATATATTATATATATTATATATAATATATATATTATATATAATATATTATATATATTATATATATTTATATATATATTATATATATAAATATATTTATATATATATTTATATATAAATATATTTATATATATTATATATATTTATATATATATAAATATATATATATTTTTATATATATATATATATATTTAAATAAAATAGCTCTTCTTGTTTAATTGGTCCTTTTACCATTATGCAATACTCTCTTCGTCTTTTTTGATCTTTGATCTTTGCTTCCTTAAATCTGTTTTGTCAGAAACTAAAATTGCCACTTCCGCTTTTTCCTGTGCTCTAATTGCTTGGTAAATTTTCCTCCATCCCTGTATTTTGAGTCTATGTGTGTCTTTGCACATGAGAGGTGTCTCTTGAAGACAGCACACCAATAGGGCTTTATTCTCTATTCAGCTTGCCATTCTGTGTCTTTTAAGTGGGTCATTTAGCCCATTTACATTTAAGGTTAATATTGTTATGTGTGATGTTGACCCTATATCATCATGATGTTAGCTGATTATTTTGCAGACTTGTTTATGTAGTTGCTTTAGAGTGTCACTGGTCTGAGTATTTTAGTGTGTATTTGTAGTGGCTGGTAATGGTTTTCCAAGACAGACCTGGTGGTGACAATGTCCCTCAGCATTTGCTTGTCTGAAAAAGATCTCATTTTGCCTTCTCCTATGAAGCTTAGTTTGGCCGGATATGAAATTCTGAGTTGGAAATTATTTTCTTTAAGAATGTTGAATTTTGGCCCCCTATCTCTTCTTGCTTGTAGGGTTTCTCCTGAGAGGTCAGCTGTTAGTCTGATGGGCTTCCCTTTGTAGATGACTTGGCCTTTCTCTCTGGCTGCCCTTAACATTTTTTCTTTCATTTCAACCTTGGAGAATCTGATGATTATGTGTCTTCGGGTTGATCTTCTTGTGGAGTATCTTACTGATGTTCTCTGGATTTACTGAATTTGAATATTGACCTGTCTTTCTAGGTTGGGGAAGTTCTCCCAGATGATATCCTGAAGTATATTTTCCAACTTGGTAAAAGATTAAAAGATTCACCCAATCTTTTTCAGTTACCCCAATTAATCACTGGGTCCATCTTTTTTCATAATCCCATATTTCTTGAAGGTTTTGTTCCTTTTCATTCTTTTTTCTCTATTCTTGTCTTCCTGTCTTATTTCAGAAAGATAATCTTGAAGCTCTGAAATTCTTTCCTCTGCTTGGTTTATTCGGCTATTGGTACTTGTGACTGCACTATGAAGTTCTCGTGTTGTGTTTTTCAGCTCCATCAGGTGATTTATGTTCCTCTGTAAACTGGCTATTTTGATTACCAGCTTCTGTAATGTTTTACAATGATTCTTAGTTTCTTTGCACTGGGTGAGAACATGCTCCTTGAAATCAGTGAAGTTTGTTATTGTCACCTTCTGAAGCCTATTTCTGTCAATTTATCCATATCAGCCTCTGCCCAGTTCTGTGTCCTTGCTGGAGAGGTGTTGCAATCATTTGGAGGAGAAGAGGCATTCTGACTTTTAGAGGTTTCGGCATTGTTGTGTTGATTGTTTCTCATCTTTGTGGGCTTATCTCCCTTGGATCTTTGAGGTTGCTGACCCTTGAATGGGGTTTTGGTGAGGTCTTTTTTGTTGAAGCTGTTGCTGTTGCTTTGTGTTTGTTTGTTTTTCTTTAAACAGTCAAGCCCCTCTTCCATAGAGCTGCTGTGGTTTGCTGGGGGTCCACTCCAGACCCTAATCACCTCGGATCCTCCCACACCTGGCTGTATCACCACTGAAGGCTGCAAAACAGCAAATATGGCAGCCTGCTTCTTCCTCAGGGGGCTGTGTCTCAGTGGAGCACTGACTTGATGCTGGCCCAGATGCTCCTGTAGGATGTGTCTGGAGACCCCTGTTGGGATGTCTCACCTAGTCAGGAAAAACTGAATCAGGAACCATCTTAAAGAAACAATCTGGCTGTCCCTTGGCAGAGCAGGTGCACTGTGCATGGGGAATCCTCCTTATTCAGACCACTAAGACTTTCCAGAGCAAGTAGGCAGGAAAGGCTGTCAGTTTCACTGCAGATATGGTGGCAGGTCTCCCCTTAGTGGCTCCGTCCCAGGGAGATATCAGCATTCTGTCCATAAAATTCTGGCTGAAGTTGCTGAAATTCTTGCAGAGAGGCCCCACCTGGTGAGTAGGAATGGATCAAGGTCCCACTTAAAGAATCAGTCTGTCCATGATCTGCCACAGTAGCTGTATACTGTGGTGTGGGGAATTCTGGTGTGGACTGTCCAGACTCCCCAGGGCTGGCAGGCCAAAACAACCATCTTGAGCCACAGAGATGGCAGCTGCCCCTCCCCCTGGAAACTAGTTCATCTCAGGCAGTCTCCAGTCTGCTGCCACTGGCTGGCTTGTATTGCAAGTCAGTGGGTCTTAACTTGTGATGTGCCATGTGAATGGGTCCCACAGAAGAATGCTGCTTGGCTCCCTTGCTTCAGCCCCCTTTCTAGTGTTACTGTTGGTGTGTCTTGACTATGAGCCATCCAGGTTTTTGGTGTTTTGAACAAAGAGTTGAACAAAACACACAAAGCAATGAAAGAATAAAGCAACAAAAAGCAATGAAAGAATAAAGCAGATTTATTGAAACAAAAGTACACTCCACGGAGTGCGAGTGGGCTTGAGCAAGTGGCTCAAGAGCACTGGTTACAGAATTTTCTGGGATGTAAATACCCTCTAGAGGTTTTCCATTGGTTACTTGGTTACAGCCTATGTAAGTGAAGGAGTGGCCCACAACCAGTCTTATTGGTGGTGGAAGGCAACCAATAAGAGGCTGAAGTGAAAATACAAAATATCTTAAACTAAAAAAAAATGACTCACAAGAAAATTGTTAGTAACTTCTATGCTTAGCTTCTAGATAAATTCCTTGATATGCCTGATATATTTACAGGCTCTTTATATGTCAACTAACAGTACTGTTTTCAAGGCATACATCAGACATTTTACATTAAAAAATAATGTATTTTAATTAATTTTACAGGTTTCACATGATATTGAATTTGGTCATTGTCAAATAAATGTAAACTAAAATAACAAGGTGATATTTTAAGTGTTAGTATTTTAAATCCAAATAACTTATAATACATATTTACAGGGAGAGTATGAACAAACCTGCATTTCCATATGTTTTTTGATACTTCAAAGTTTTTCTATAGTATTTTTTTTTGGGGGGGGAGTGTAAGAAGAGCTGGGCAATACCTGGTAATTTTTAAAATATACATATGCTGTGACTCCTCAACTACGTCTCTAGGAATTGACCTAATACATATATTGATATGCATATATTGATATGCAAGTGCAGAGAATAAATGGTAATATGTTCTTTTTAGCATTATTTGTTATTGTACATACACTTATCTCAGCAAATGACTGCAAATAACTTGTTGACATTAAAACTGCTATACATCATCATGACATAATGCATTACATACACAGTAAAACCCAGTGAAAATAATAAGTATGTGTAATTTACTTATTTTCAGCAAGTTTCTAATGATTCTATCAATATCAAGTTCTCCCTTCTGCCAATCCATTAGTTCATCTGCATTTATCCATTAGTAGATTAATAAATGTTAATAACTAACCAATGATTCATTAGAGAAAACCTAAACTTCATTACTATTCCCATGTAAGTAAAAAGACAATGCTGAAAATGGCCATAGATTGTAAAATCCTCAGTTATACTGAACCATGTAAGCTTGTTTCCTCAGGTCACACTTACATGATTATGTCTTATGACACTGATCAAAAATACTTGATCAACTGCCTAGACAAACATAGGATAAGCTCTGTTAAATGGATGAAGGGAAAATTAACCTAATTGCACTTAATGTATTTAAATAAATCTATTTAGATGATTTAATTTGCAAACAAACTGGATTGTTTACTCTTTCATGAAAGCTGCAAATTATAAACCATATGGCTTGTCTTAACATGCCTTGAGAAAATGTGAGCTGAACCATTTTTACTAAAATGTGTGTCAATAACCTATTAAACTTTTAGAGAGTTTTAATTGCTCAGTAAAAAGTAATATGTAAGCTTATTTATTTAGCATAAATTTAAAATATTAATGTTTTTTGCTTTACAATGCTTATAATTATCTTCAGATATGACATTTATAGAAATATATGTTTTCTTACTATTATTATTTCACAGTTGAAAATCTCCATTCGAGAAAATGTAAGGGAGTTGTTTATTTAAATCTTTAATCATCTTTTGGATATACCTATTAATATATTATTTCACTCTAATTTTCAACAACTGAAAGAGTACTAAATGACTATATTTACATTGTGGTAATTTTTTAAAATATTCTTAATCAAAACAGGAGTATATATATGCAAACTCCATTTTTAAATAATTGTCCTGTCTTTTTATTTTCAAGAGATCTATTTGATATTGCCAATAATTATCATCCTATCTCCTGTAGAGTAACGATTATTCAACTGCCTTGATAATTATTGAATTATTGCTGTTTAAATACTGTGCTTATGCTTCTTGGTTTAAGAATGTATGCTATCACAATAGAATATATACATTAAAATTAAAATTTATTGTAAATGTTTCCACTGATTATCTCTAAGTGTCTACCTATCTACTTATCTAGGTATAAATAATTTAATATTTGGAAAGTAATATAAAATATAAAATATTTAATTTTCTATAAGTATTTGATCTAATTTTTATGCACATTTGGCTCTTCATTAAAATTGGTTCAAAGTAATTATATACTTTGGTCATTTAGAGTTAGGCAGATTAAATACACTAAAGCTAGAGAGTGGATAGATAAATATTTAATAGCAGAATAAGTAGTTCTTTACCTATGTAATTTATTTACCTTAAACATGCTCTTTGATGAAGTCAGTTTGCAATGAGTCATCTAAGATACAACACCTACAAATGAATTTATTATAAATAACTTATTTCTTGTCTCTGGTAGCTTTTCAGAAGGCTAACCCAAATAGTGACAATGGAAATTTCCAGAAATGGTCCCACCACTATGTGTGCAACAGCAATCTAAAACACCATTTTAAATTATTAAAACACTGTCTCTCATCCTATCAGAAACTGGTATCACATGATGCATATTTATTTTCCTAGTAATATAACCATGACCCATACAACCAAATCCTGATTGTTGTTGCACCTTTCATTTAGTACATTGTTGCAACACATAAAGGTTGTCGGGTATTGACAGATAATTTGAATACCTCACCCAACTAAATACTCATAATTCTATATTTTTCTTTGTATTATATTCAAAAGAATAATCAAATATTTATAACCTACATATCTTTCTTTCTTCCTATGCAAATATTAGTTCTTAAGACATCTACCATTTTCCTTCATGTCAGCCCATTTTCTGAAGCTATAACAGAATAACGAGACTGGATAATTTATAAAGGAGGGTGGTTTAAGTTCATTATTCTGGAGGCTAGGAAGTCCAAGATCAGGCCACAGCATCTGGTCAGCTTTTGATGAGGCTCTCATGCTGCATCATAATACAGAAGAGAAGAAGAAGGAGAAGCAAGTGTATGCAAAAAGTGACCAAACACAAGAGGCGGTCTTGCTCATCGCAATTCGTTCTTGTGGTAGTAACTAATCCAGTCCTAGGAAAGCAGATCTCGCTCTCTGGAGAATGGCATTAATGCCTCCTAATGGACTAATCACTTCTTAAAAACACCACCTTCCAACACTGCCACACTGGGGATCAAGACTCAACATATGTTTTGGTGGGGACAAACCATATTTAAGCCATAACACTTAAGATTACCATTGTTTTATAAATAGATAAAGTGAGTTGAGTTGTATTTGACAGATTCTACTCAAGCCCTGAATAAACACAAAGAATTTATTGGGTACATTTAACATAAAAACCTAAATTACGTAACACTTTGTAGTTTTTTCTTCATAAAATGCTGCATCTAATTTCTTTCTTTAGCTGAAATCTTGTCATCAAGCAAACAAAAATCCCTTTGTAGCATCATAAGTGAAATTTTCTCACCCATCCCTGCATAATTTGCAAATTCTGTTGTAAACCTGCAGGAACACTTTCAGAAATCTCTGTGGGCCTCATGTAAAGCACCATTCTGCTTTAAAGCCCGAGTAATCAGCATGCAATCTGCTGCAATCCTTTTTCTGGAAGGTCTCTCTGTTATTACTATATCTCTGTAGACATTTAATACCTGAATCCCAGTTGATATTTGTCTTTGACCATTTTGTGCTGCTATAACTAACAGAATACCACAGACTGGGTAACTTATAAAGAACAGACATGTATTTACTTGCAGTTCTAGAGGCTGGGAAGCTCAAAATTAAGGTGCTGGCCTTTTTGCTGTAACATCTCATGGCGGAAGGTGGAAGGGCAAGAGTGTGTGAGAGAGCAAAAGGGGTCTGAACCTCATCATTTTAAAAGAAACCCACTTCAGAGAAAAAAGCATTAATTCACTCGTGAGAGAAGAGCCCTTATGGCTTAATCACCTCTTAAAGATCTTACCTCTTTATACTATTACAATTATGATTAAGTTTCTACCGCCTGCTTTTTGGAGGACACATACAAAATATAGCATTTCCTTTATTCCAAACCTATAATAAATTCAGAAAGAAACAATAGTATTTATCATCTATCCAATTCTCCAGAATTTGTCCCTCAACTTCCTTATCTGTAATGACTTACATTTACACTCCTTTATTTCAGTAATTCTGTGGTAGACCCATTCGGATTGGGCTGTGTGTCAACCTTGCCTCCACTACTTGCCAAATGTGCAAATTTCTAAAGTACACTGTAAATCAGTTTCCTTAGCTATAATGCTGAGGATGATAAAATAATAGCATTAAGTTTATGTTCATATAATGAACTTCTATTCAACCATTTCATATAAATGATCCCTAGAATTTTATTCTTATTTCATCCACTGGTTCTACACAATTTAAATGACTTCACATTGCCCAAAGAATAACATAGGAACTTGTTGATTTGGGTATGTGAAATAATTCTTACTTTGTCCTTGCTTACCTTTCTTAACTCTTACTATGTCACACTTTTTCATTTATCGTATACAGTGGCTACACTAAAAAACTTTACGAAGTTCTTCTACATCTCTATTCAATATACAACTAAAATGTTCATTTATCCTAAGAAACTCATTTTTTACATACAAGCTAAAGTGTAATTTAGGCAAAATGTTAGTAAATGTGAGAACTTCCACACTAAAGATCTACCATACATTTAGTTTTTTTTTTATTATTTTGAAACATTTATTCTTACAGAAAACTAGACAAATTACAAATGCCCGGCTTGCTGAATTATCACAAACATCTGTGTAACCACAAATCCAGCCAAAATGTGGACTCATCCATACTTGGACATATTAAATACCCATTTTTCTGCTCTTACCTCAAGTCTATTATACTAACCCAAGTTAATTAGCTTTTGAAATAGCTGATATATTTATATATAGTTTTTTTCCACCTCTAAAATTTGCAGTTCAGTTATGATCCCCATTCATTTTTAAAATTCCTATTATACTTACAAATAACTTTCCCAGATATTTTCCCAAATGCTTTTTCATGCTTTGGAGGGAAGTATTATCACATAATATAGATAAAAATTAAAAGCAAACAAAAAAAACCATGTTGTTATATTTGCTCAGTCACCTTGATTTGCATCTTTGTGATTAGTTTTAAATCCCTTTAGCACAGACAATCAAGAGTGCTTAGTTGGCTTTTGAAAAAATCAGGAATTTTTTCCCCTGTCAATGGCAACAAAGATGTTGGCATACCACATCCTAGCTATATATTTTGGTGTGTGACTGAACTAGGAGGTAAACTGAACGCAACTAGTTTTATTGCACAAGTCCTGTTAGATCTGCCAAAAGGTCAGAGACCTAGTTTTCATCAAGCTTATAAATCAAGTTCTGTAGTTATTTCCTTAATTGTTCACTAATTAATATTCCTATGTGTGGCAGAATTCAGCCTGAAATTCATTTTCATTGTATCATATTGTGTTATAGCATGCTTATGGGAATGAAGCTGAGATTATGAATTTAAAATATACATTACACGTGAGTAACTCAACTGTCCTAGGTCATTTCATAGCAGCCTATAAGGCAAATCTTTATTTTCTTTAATATTGCATATTTCTACGCCTCCTCTCCCATCCTGCCTTGATTTACTCCTTTTACCAGGAATTTCTTTCATTTTAAAGATCTCGCCTAATTGACCAACATCCAGGACTTTTTTGATATCCAATTAAATTTCATCCTGCTTCCAATACTCAGAAGAGAGAAAACTTGGGATCTAATCAATTTGGTACCGCTGCTACTTCCCAGGGACTTGAGTTAGCAAGTTTGCCGGCTGCCCCTGACTTTTGTGATGACTATTCATCCCCTACTGATGAGTGACTTCTGCTTGGTCCAAATCACTTCTGAGTACATTGGCTTGTATAAGCACAGCAGCTCATACACATTCAACAATTATTCTTACATTTCTCCAAAACTCTACGATCACCCTTAGCCATATGATTTGCTGAAGCCAGCCTTCCTCCATTAAATTTAGTTTATTGTATTGATCATGAATGAGAGTCCAGAAGCTTTCATAGTGCTTGATGTTTTCATGATGTGTTCTTGTTATGTGTGTACTTTCCTCCACCACCTTATTCCTTTGGAGGAGTCTTGAAAATGTGAACAATAGAGTGGAAGGAGTGAAAGTATCACGCCCTTTCCTCCCAGGAGGCTACTTGGTCAGCATGCAGACTTTCCCTCTCTTTTCTTTGTGACAGCTCTGCAGCAAGAAGGTTTTGTAAGAAGCTGCCTTTGTCAAGACACAATAGGTCCTTTTTTTACCCTGACCGTGTATAAATGTGCTTCCTGGCATAATATTTGCATGAATAAAAGGGAATAATCATATGACTTCTTAGCAGAACAAAGATGATGTGCTCCAAGGTGACTTTCTGTTTCTAGACACAGAAGACAAAGAAAAGCCCAGCATAAAATTTTGTCTTCTGACACTTCATAGTTCATGTCTATTCTTTCCCATCTAAAATCATCTTGCATGTTTGAATGGTTCATTTTCCTTCAAATTACTATTTAAATAAATAGATATAAATACTAAAACACAAATGTCAGTGATCTATTTTTATCACAGTTCTTACCTAAATGCTACAATAATGAAGTACTGAACTTTTTTCTATGTATCAAGTTTTACATATATATAATAACATATATATACATATATACACAATATATATATAGCAAAATTAAGAATTTTGAAGGACAGCAATTTACTTAACTAGGTAACACTGAAAAGAACATTGATTATGTATTATAAATTTCAAACATTTACAGTATTCAGTATTTCCATTCATATTAATATGCACATAGACACCCAAATATACCTGCATAAACAGATTATCCAGCTGAAAAATTTTAACACTTTTTACAGAAAGATTTGACTGTGCATTCATTTTCCTGCTTACATTGAAATGCCATTATTCAGCAGCCTTTTTATTGTCTTATTACTTACGGAGAGAAAACAAATTAGGGACCCATTGTCTGTCATGCTTCAAAACTCTGAATATTCTGAGTTTTCAATCGTTAGTTAACTCTACAGACTAATATTTTCATTCCTGAGCAATCTCTGCACTTTTCGTTGTCCACTTTCAAAAGCAGAGCCTGATCCATTCTAGGATTGCTCCTGGATATGTCTGTCACTTTCCTGGCTGAAATTTAGTTTCTATCTATTTTTTATCTCTGGCTACAGTTCTTTCCAAAGAAACTTTCCTGGAGCTAATTTTCGCTTTCTGTTGCATCCCATACACATCAATGTATCTGGGTGAATATCATCCATAGAACAAATAGATACCTTGTTTCTGATTGTCTCAGGGTTATAGAGGCATTTCTAATTGTCACAATTCAGGTGCTTTACAATGTGTTATTTCTGGATTCCAATAATGAACATAAGTCATGGCTTGCCTATAATGTCTTTAGTTTACTTGTGTTATTCCTAGGTTTTTCCTGGTTCAGAATTTATATCAAAATGTTAGCTGTCTAATTGTGAAATGTTATTCAAAGTTACAGTAATGTAAGCCATGGTGGTTTTGCATTGTATTTCCAATTTTTCCTATGCCCTTGTCTAGTAAGGTGTAAGATGCATGTTCAGTGAACACATGGCTAAATTTTAAAACCATCAGTAATTCTTCCCTCTTTTCTTGGATAGATTCTGGCTCAAGGTAACTCTTTTGGTCAGCTCGGTGTGCAACAAAAAATGCCATAGATTGGAAGCTTAGAAAATCAGAAATTTATCTATCATACTTCTGGTGGCCGGGAAGTCCAAGACTAAGTAACTGGTAGATTAAATGTCTGATGAGGACCAACTCCCTAGATGGCCATCTCTTCTCTGTATCTTCACATGTTGGAAGGTGCAAGGGAGCTGTTTGGAGTCTCTTTTCTAAGGGCACTAATTCTATTCATTAAGTCTCAACCCCCATGACTTTATCTAAACTTGATTACCTTCAAAATCCCACTTCTTAATATCATCACATTGAGCAATAACGTTTCAACATAAGAATTTCGGTAGGACACAAGCACTCAGTCCATAAGAGTAATTAAAAATTACATTTCAAGGGTACTTGTTCACTGATAAGATGAAGCATTCTTTTGTAAAAATAGTGAAATTCAGTAACACCATCCAGCATAATGGGAGACGTATTAAAATATTGTGGTCATTAAAGGTCCCTTGTTAAACTAACCAGAAGTCAGGCTTAAAATCCGTGAAACCAGTAAAAAATGTAGAAACTTAAACTTTAAATGTAAGTAAATATAATGATCAATAAAAATGTCTTTCACCATTTGTAAAGGAAAAAGATAACATGTCCCTACTTAATACCCACCTAAGTGTGACTAAACATTAAGCAGGTTTGTTCCTGACTCTAGGCCCCTGACCACTTTTTCTTACAGCATTTAATTTAGAAAATTCTCAATGGTAAATTATTTCTCTTCCTTTTGAGATATAATCTTTTTCCAGCCTTTTGCCAGTTATGTAACTCAGGAATGTGTTTCTCAAGGACCTGGGAAAAATTTCTTTGCAATGCAATTATCAAGAAATTAGTACCCCATCTTCTTAGTCTCTGTGAGACAGTATAAGTCTAACTTCTATAAGTACCAATAAGCAAACACACTTGGCCTAATTACATTGACCAATCTCTCCTCTAATATCCTCCAGTAATTTTCCACTACCTCACCTCAGCACTCAATAACTCTTCCACCTTTTGTTTTGTGGCATTGAATTCAATCTCTTCCCCCAAACCTTATTGCAATAGTCTTGATCTCTATTGCAATAGTCCTACATAAAGTTTTTCTTGCCTGTTTAATACAATCAGGTACATTTTTTTAATCCACTTCCCTCTTTAAAAAAATTGTTTCCTTGAAGACATACTGAGTTAGAGTCCTTACTATAACCTGTGAAATAGAGATAAATCTCGCCAAGGATTAAGCTAGATATTCCAGGTTTTACAATGAAGCAATAGCTCCAAGTCGGCAGACTCAAAACCTCCAGCTATGTGAAAATGTATCACTAAAAGTGGCCCAGTGATATCTCACAACATGTAAAGGAAATTGTTAGGAGGTCTAATTCTTTAAGTTATTCTTTCTTCTGTTTGCTGTATAAAATGTGTAAGATTTTATCCTTAGTGTTACCTTTTGTGATCAATTACATTCATATAAATCTATTAAAGTTTACTGTGGTCAAAGGATAATGGAATTTCCTTAAAGTCCAAGCCCTAATACCCTGAACCTGTAAATATGTGCGTAGTAAAAAGGAATTTGCAGATGCATTTAAGTCAAGAATTTTAGGATGGGGAGTGTTTTAGTCCCTCTGCATTGCTATTAAGGAATACCTGAGAATAGGTAATTTATAAAAAAAGAGGCTTATTTTGGCTTACGGTTCTGCAGGCTCTACAGGAGGTGTGGTGCTGGCATCTATTCCTCGTTAGGGTCCTCAGGAATCCTACAATCATGGCGGAAGATGAAGGAGGACCAGGTGTATGACATGGTAATGAGAGGTGACAGCCTGCCGGCAGCCCTCACAGCCCTCGCTCACTCTCAGCGCTTCCTTCGCCTCTGCGCCCACTCTGGCAGCGCTTGCGGCGCCCTTCAGCCCGCCGCTGCGCTGTGGGGCCCCTCTCTGGGGGCTGGCTGAGGCCAGAGCTGGCTCCCTCTGCTGGCGGGAGGTGTGGAGGGAGAGGCGCCGGCGGTAACCAGGGCTGCGTGCGGCGCTCGCGGTCCAGCGCGAGTTCCGGTTGGGGGTGGGCTCGTCGGGCCCCACACTCCGAGCGGCCGGCCGGTGCCCGCGCAGTGAGGGGCTTAGCACCTGGGCGAGCAGCTGCAGAGGGGGCGCCAGGTCCCCCAGCACTGCCGGCCCGCCGTAGCCACGCTCGAATTCTTGCCAGCCTCAGCCGCCTTCTCGCGGGGCAGGTCTCAGGACCTGCAGCCCGCCAAGCCCGAGCCCCGCTGAGGTGGCCTCCTCCACGCGGCGCCCGGTCCCATCTACCGCCCAAGGGTGAGGAGTGCACGCGGGGAAGGGTGGGGCGGTGGGGGCGGGACTGGCGGGCAGCTCCACCCATGGCCCTGGCAGGGACCCGCTATGCGAAGCCAGCTGGGCTCCTGAGTCCGGTGGGGACTTGGAGAACTTTTATGTCTAGCTTAAGGTTTGTAAACACACCAATCAGCACTCCATGTGTCTAGCTCAAGGTTTGTAAACACACCCATCATCACCCTGTGTCTAGCTCAAGGTTTGTAAATGCACCAATCACTGCTTTGTGTCTAGTTAATCTAGTGGGGACTTGGGGACCTTTTGTGTCTAGCTTGGGGATTGCAAATGCACCAATCAGCACCCTGCCAAAATGGGCCAATCAGCTCTCTGTAAAACAGACCAATCAGTTCTCTGTAAAATGGACCAATCAGCAGGATGTGGGTGCGGCCAGATAAGGGAATAAAAGGTGCCCAAGCTAGCATTGGCAACCTGCTAGGGTCCACTTCCACAGTATGGAAGTTTTGTTCTTTCACTCTTTGCGATAAATCTTGCTGCTGCTGACTTTTTGGGTCCCCATTGCCTTTATGAGCTGTAGCACTCACAGCGAAAGTCTGCAGCTTCACTCCCGAGGCCAGCGAGATCACGAACCCACTGGGAGGAATGAACAACTCCCAACGGGAAGAATGAACGACTCCAGAAACGCTGCTTTAAGAGCTATAACACTCACCACGAGCGTCTGCGGCTTCATTCTTGAAGTCAGTGAGACAAAGAACCCACTAATTTCAGACACAGTAAGACAGGAAGCAGGAGAGAAAGAGGTGAGGAAGTTCTAGGCGCTTGTAAACAAGCAGATCTCATGTGAACCCATGGAGTGAGGCTCATTTGTTACTGCGAGGATGGTAGGAAGCCATTCATGAGGGACCTGACCCCATACCCAAACACTTTCCACTAGGCCTCACCTCCAACAGTGGAGATCATATGTCAACATGAGATTTGAAGAGGACAAACATTTAAACTGTATGAGGGAGAGTATGCTGAATCATCCAGGTGAGCCTAATGTAATCACAAACATCCTTCTAAGGAGAAGAGAGGCAAGATATTTAGAGTTGAAGGAATTAGTGACAAAAGCTGAGGTCTAGGTCTGTCAGTTCAGGAATGCGAACTCCTTTTGGAAATGGAAGAAAAACAATAAAGCAGATATTTCCAAAAACTGTACAGAAGGTACACAGCCCTGCCAACATCTTGGTTTTAGGACTTCCAATATCCAAATCATTAAGTAAGTAAATTTATACAGTTTAAACCTCAGTTTGGGCCGGGCGCGGTGGCTCACGCCTGTAATCCCAGCACTTTGGGAGGTCGAGGCGGGCGGATCACGAGGTCAGGAGATAGAGACCATCCTGGCTAACACGGTGAAACCCCGTCTCTACTAAAAACACAAAAAATTAGCCAGGCGTGGTGGTGGGCGCCTGTAGTCCGAGCTACTCAGGAGGCTGAGGCAGGAGAATGGCGTGAACCCGGCAGGCGGAGCTTGCAGTGAACCAAGATCGCGCCATGGCACTCCAGCGTGGGTGACAGAGTGAAACTTCGTCTCAAAAAAAAAAAAAAAAAAAAAACAAACAAACAAAAAAAACCACAGTTTGGAGTAATTTCTTACAGGAATAGGAAACTAACATAATTATCCAATAATAAATTGTGTTCTTTTTCTCTTCTGTATTGATACAAAGGATTCTTTCTATTGGTAGCACTATTTTATTTTTATAACAGTACAGAAAATAGAAGCTGGATAATTATATGATGAATATAAAGAATAGCCAGGGCTCACATCTGTAATTCCCAGCACTTTGGGAGGATGAGGCGGGCAGATCTCTTGAGCTAAGGAGTTTGACACCAGCCTGGGCAACATGGCGAAACCCCGTCTCTACAAAAAACTTAGCTGGGCATGGTGGCACACGCCTGTATTTCTAGCTACTCAGGAGGCTGAGGTGGGAGGCTCACCTGAGCCCAGGAGACAGAGGTTTCTGTGAACTGAGATCACACCATTGCACACCAGCCTTGGCAATAGAGTAAGACCCTGTCTCAGGGAAAAACAGAGAAATAGACTGAAAGCTCCTGTGAGGGTGATTCATCACTTCTTCAGTAAATCAAATCTGAAGTTTCTAGTGTATTTTCTTAGTTGATGCATTTTTTAAAATTCTGTAGTAAATCCCGTTGCTAGACGAAGAGCTAACAAAAGATAGTGCTTTTAAATGAAATGTGTGCACTATTTTAATAAGAATGTTCATGATGAGCATGTCACTCCATAAAATATTTTTTGACAACAGCTGTCTACCATGGCAGATGGAGGTGGTGAAGATATCACTGAACTCATGAAACCATAGGAATCAAGTCTTCTGAAGTAGCACCATTATCAACTTCCACAGTGAGTATATATTCTAAAAACACAGTGATATTACATGTGCAGCTGCAGAAAACCATTCATATATTATCTTGATGATTATTTTGATCAAATGACTTTTCATCTAAATTAATTATAATAATTTTTATCAAAGTTTTCATGTGCACATAGAAGAGTGAATTGATATTTGTGAATGCATGAGTTGAACTGGCAGAAGAAAATATTTGCAAACAGTTAAAAGCTGAAAATTTTATACCAATATCATCTAATGCATTAAGTAGAAAATCAGCTAACTGCAAAAAATGATTCAAGTGTTTTCATTCAATTTAGGAACTCAAAGTAATGTTTTGAAAGTACATTTCAATAAGGTAGATTACATGACATTTTAAAGTATGTTATGATAAATCCAGTGAAAATTACATCAGTAATATTATATTTTTTCTTGATAAAATGCATTGTGAATTTGGTAAAGCAAATGTCATTGTGGAAACAACATTTTCATAAGGCCAGAATTACCGTGCAATAAGTTGTAATAATTTAATCCAAACAAACTTTAATAGACTACCAGTTAAGAAGAAGCTGAAGTTATTAAATTTACACACACATACATGTCACATCACAACTTTTTAAAAATATGAGACTGATGCCAATGCTAAATATACAAAATTACTCCAGTATGACAATATTTACTTTCTATTTCTGCTGCCCATTGTAAATTTGAATGTATAAACTTTTGAAGAAATGATTATCTATAATGCTATTCAACACTTTTATTAATAGAGCTGATAAAATTGTTTTTATTTACTTGCATTTTGTCCCAAATTGACAAATAAATCTCCAGAATATTCAACTCTTGGAAGCTTTCTAGTGAATTGCAGTTATTCAAAACAAACATGCAAACAAGAAGCGATTGTAGTTTATCCCACAAAAGCAAGACAAATCTAAACAAATTTAGTGATGGGAAATTATTTAATTTGAAAATTATCTAATTGAACTTTAGAATATATGGACATGTGGGGAAAATCCATTTATTTCCTTAGGTCTTTAAGTGGATAAATTGATAATCCTTTACTGAATAAATTGAAAATGATAAAGTCAGCAATTTTGAATCATCTACATTTTGCAATATACTCTAAAATTTATAAATAATGATAATTTACTTGATAAATTTTGTCATATAAAAACTATTTGCCAAATAAAGATTCTCGGAATCAGGGAGGGAAAACCCCCCAAAAAACTTGTATTTGTGAAAGTATTTGCACTGCAGTATTTATAGATCTCAATTAAAAATGGAATTGAGTAATTCTTGTTTTTAATCGAATTTATTCTGAGCATATAAAGTACCACTCTTTATTTAGAAAAATATTTTTTTCAAAAAAATATTATTTTCTACAAAAAAGGTTAATTAAACTTTTAACTCTTTCAAAAATTTTAACCATAAAAATAAATGATATAGAAACCTTTTGGCAATTATTTAAAAATTAATCAGAATTAGATCAGTTTGAAATGTAATTTGCTTTTAAAGAAAATGCTCTGAATATTAGAAACAGCTAGGCTCATTAACTCATTAGAGAATGGAAATATATAGTAATAAATTACTTTTTAGGTTATCTTTTAATATTCAGATGGACAACATACTTTAGTCAGTCAATAAAACTTATCAAATGTGTTCATTTTATTACACCTTTTCAATCTAAAACAATTTCTGGTTTTGAAATTAAATATATTATCACTTCAATCACATCTTTGTCTTATTTGCATAAAGTAGGAGAGTGCAAGAGGTCTTGGCTCATATTACAAAATAGATGATTTTCCAGAAAGGGGTACAATTTATCACCTAGGACCACTCCCTTCCTTGACCCTTAGAATCTACCCTACTCTGTTTTTCCTGACTTCACAGATGATCTCCTGATCTCCCTTCATATTTACTTATTTCTGATAAAGATTATGTGAATCTGTGCATATACTTTTTTATATATTTCCCCCCATACAATATGTTTAATTTCTCTATTTTTTTAATGTGTGCACGTGCACATGTTTATGAATCTTTTGGTCGAATGGAGGTGGAGATTGTGGGCATGGCTTACAAATAAACAGTCATGTTGAATGGTCATTGTTGTGCTGTATTTAAAAAATTAGTAGAGAATCCATATCATAGTGAAAGTGAGTTTTTCCTTCATGTATTTATCTTGGTCTTTTTCGCAAGCATACTTCCTTTACTTCTAGCGTCTGGTTTCTCCATTCATTTCTATCCCTTCTGCAATGCTTCAAATACCTCCAGATGTTTCATTAGAGGTATAAACACAGTATGCAGAATATAGGAGATAAATTCTCATTAATTATAACTAGCCCTTTTTATTTCGTATATAAAGAAATGTCATTTTAATTTAAATGTATTAAATGCAATTCTAAAAAAAAAAGTGCTTAGTGACGATAGAGTAAAAAATACAGCCTCGAAGTTAGTCAAAAAGATTTTACAAGTATGTAGTACAATTTAAAAATTAAGTTGAATTAAATGATATCTCGGCAACTTGAAGCATTGCAAAGAATGGTTATAATATTTGACGTATTAACACATAATTATGAAAAGATTATGATTGTTACAATTCATAATTATTTTTGATGAGAATTATTGTATTTTATATCTACTATGGCTTTTAGTGTTGTAATCTTGAGAAAAAAAATTTAGACTGAATTACATTTTGCAAGAAAATATAAAATATACTCACAAACCTATACCACAGAAAAATAATTTAGACAGAATATTGACTAACATTTAAAAATCTTATACTACTCTTAAAAATGTGCATAGATCTCATAATGGCTCGTTCTTGAATTTTGCCAAATAATAATGTAGGTAAAATCGGACTTTAGTAAATTATTTCTTATAAAATATATTTCAATATAGTAGTCATGTATTTGTGCTAATATGGAATTTCAAAAGAGTGAAAAGCTTTTAAAAAAAACCTAAAAGCTATTTTTTATACTTCCACTCTTCCCTAATTTGTTTTTAATGCCAAAAATGATTTTAGATAGCCTAAGCTAAATGTTATCAGCGTTTATGTACAGAGCAATCTTCTTTCCCGTTTATATGAGTTTGAAATGCAGTAGAGAAAGAAGGAGGAAGCAGTACTTCGAGTACATAGGGCCACAAAAAAAAATCACAATCATGCAGGAAAAAAAAAATAATCAAAGTAATGATGCCGTCCAGTCTCTATCTTTCAAGTCTCCAGTTTCTCTCTGAATTTCAGACTGTGAGACCATTCTGTCTTTCAGCTGAGCAATTACTCTGTCAGGGGGTATGTTCACCTAGGGTCAAGCCCTGCTGTGTGCATAGAGAAAAATCCCTGTAGAGATTCTTCTTTCAAAAAGTTTTACTCTACTTTTTGAATAAAAAAAAAAACTGACAGTTATCTCAAGAGGATTTTCAGAGGAAAATATTTGACCTATATTGCTTGAAAAATGTCACTTGAGGAAAAGAAATTAAAAAGTTATACTTCTCCAGGGTCTTTTTGAGCCCAAATATCTCACATTTTTGTGGATTGTTAGAGTCACCTAGAATTCCTTTGAGGTTGTATGGACATTTGTCTTCCAGATTAAGACAGAGAAAATTCATGCAATATTTGTTGTTCTGTAACTGGTTTATTTTACCTAGCATAATGTCCTCCAGGTCTATTCATGTTGTCACATACTGCAGAATTTCTTTCTGTTTTATGGCTGAGTAGTATTTCATTGTATGTGTAGACCACATTTTCTTTCCCCTTTTATGAATGAATGTTTAGGTTATTTCCACATCTTGGCTAGTGTGAATAACTCTGCAATGGACATGGGAGTGTAGCTATCTCTTCAAGATCCTTACTTCAGTTCTTTTGGATAAATACCCAGACATGAAATTACTGGATCATATGGTATATCTATTTTTAACTTTTTGAGGAATGTGCATGCTGCTATTAGTGGCTGCATCATTTTGCATTGTTGGGCAAGCTTTTCAATTGGTCTGAAATGTATTGTTTCTTATGTATGAAATAAAATTAACAGACTCACCTACAGGATTATAGTAAGAATTAGATGAAACAATGCAATTTCCTAAACTTCTAGATATTAAAATAGTTAATTACGTAGACTCAGAATAGAATGGTGGTTGCCAGGAATGGGAAAGAGGGGAAATGAGTAGTTACTAATCAAGGAGCATAGTTATGAATGAAGGAGCAAAATGAATATAATCTGGAGTTCTGCTGCACAATATTGTACCCATATTCAACAATAATGCTTTACGCACTTAAAATTTGTTAAGAAGGTATATTTCATGTTAAGTGTTTTTATGACAATAAATTTTAAAAGTTAACTTACATTTAATAAAATGCACACATTTTAAACTTAACAAAAGAAGATTTAAAAAATCCTGAAGAATTCGACTTAAAAAGTTTTAACTTTGAACAACAGCAAAAATACCTATGAGGTACTCAGAAATCTAGCATCAAAAATTAATGATTTTTTAAAAATAAAAGCACATTCTATGATATGGTTTGGCTGTGTCCCCACCCAAGTCTCATCTTGAAACGTAGCTCCCACAATTTACATGTGTTGTGGGAGGAACTTGGTGGGAGGTGATTAAATTATGAGGGTGGTTGTTTCCCATGCTGTTCTCATGAGATTGAATAAGTCTCACCAGATCTGATGGTTTTAAAAAGGAAAGTTTCCCTGCACAAAGTCTCTTCTCTGTCTGCCACCATGTGAGACATTCCTTTCACCTTCCACCATGATTGTGAGGCCTCTCTAGCCACAAGGAACTGTAAGTCCATTAAAATTTGTTTTCTTCCCAGTCTCGGGTACAGCTTTATCAGCAGCATGAAAATGGACTAATATAGTAAATTGTTACTAGGAGTGGTGTGTTGCTGAAAAGGTACCTGAAAATATGGAAGCAACTTTGGAACTGAGTAACAGGCAAAGGGTGGAACAGTTTGGAGGGCTCAGAAGAAGACAGGAAAATGTGGAAAAGTTTGGAACTTCCTAGAGACTTGTTGACTGGCTTTGACAAAAATGTTGATAGTGATATGAACAATAAGGTCCAGGCTGATGTGGTCTCTGAAGGAAATGAACTTGTTGGCAACTGGAGCAAAGGTGATTCTTGTTAGCTTTTAGCAAAGAGACTGGTGGCATTTTTCCTCTGACCTAGAGCTTTGTGGATACCAGATTCAGGGTATCTGGTGGAAGAAATTTCTAAGCAGCAAAGCATTCAAGAAATGACTTGGGTGCTGTTAAAAGCATTCAGTTTTAAAAGGGAAACAGAGCAAAACGTCTTGGAAAATATGCAGCCTGACAATGTGATAGAAAAGAAAATCCCATTTTCTGAGTAGAAATTCAAGCCAGCTGCAGAAATTTGCATAAGTAACAAGGAGCTATATGTTAGTCACCAAGACAATGGGGAAAATGTCTCCAGGGCACGTTAGAGGTCTTCATGGCAGCCCCTCTTATCACAGGCCTGGAGGCCTAGGAGGATAAAGTGGTTTTATGGGCCAGCCCCCAGGTCTCCATGCTATGTGCAGCCTAGAGACTTGGTGCCCTGCATCCCAGCTACTCCAGCCATGATGAAAGGGTCCAGTGTAGAGCTTGGGCATGGCTTCAGAAGGTGCAAACCCCAAGCCATGGCAGCATCCATGTGGTGGTGTTCCTGTGGTGCACAGAAGTCAAGAATTGAGGTTTGAGAACCTTCACCTAGATTTCAGAGGATGTATGGAGACACCAGGATGTCCAGGCAGAAGATTGTTGCAGGGGCGGTGCTCTCATGGAGAACCTCTGCTAGGGCAGTGCAGAAGGGTGATGTGGGTGGGAGCCCCCACACAGAGTCCTTACTGGGGCACTGCCTAGTGGAGCTGTGTGAAGAGGGTCACTTCCCTCCAGACTCCAGAATGGTAGATCCATTGACAGCTTGCACCATCTGCCTAGAAAAGCCACATGCTCAACTCCAGCCTGTGAAAGCTGCCAGGAGGGAGGCTGTACTCTGCAGAGCCACAGGGGCAGAGCTCCCCAAGACCATGGGAGCTCACCTCTTGCATCACTGTGGCCCAGATGTGAGGCATGTGGTCAAAGGAGATCATTTTGGAACTTTAAGATGTGACTGCCATGCTGGATTTCAGACTTGCATGGGGCCTATAGCCCCTTTGTTTTGGCCCATTTCTCCCATTTGGAACAGCTATATTTACCCAATACTTGTACCCCCATTGTATCTAGAAAGTGACTAACTTTCTTTTGAGTTTATAGGCTCATAGTTGGAAGGGACTTGTCTTGTCCCAGATGAGACTTTGGACTCTGGACTTTTTAGTTAATGGTGAAATAAGTTAAGACTTTAGAGGACTGTTGGAAAAGCATGATTGGTTTTGAAATGTGAAGACATGAGATTTGGGAGAAGTTAGGGGTGGAATGATGTTGTTTGGCTGTGTCCCCACCAAAATGTCATTTTGATTGTAACTCCTATAATTCCCAAGTGTCATGGGAGGAACCTAGTGGGAGGTGCTTGAATTATGGGAGCAGGTCTTTCCTGTGCTGTGCTCATGAGAGTGAATAAGTCTCACCAGATATGATGGCCTTGTTTTGTTTTGTTTTGTTTTGTTTTGTTCTGAGACAGAGTCTCACTCTGTCACCCAGGCTGGAATGCAGTGGCATGATCTTGGCTCACTGCAACCTCTGCCTCCTGGGTTCAAGTAATTCCCTTGCCTCAGCCTCCTGAGTAGCTGGGATTGAAGGCATGCACCACCACACCTGGCTAATTTTAGTATTTTTAGCAGAGATGGGGTTTCACCATGTTGGTCAGGTTGGTCTCGATCTCCTGACCTCATGATCCA
Organism: Homo sapiens; assembly: GCF_000001405.40. NCBI lineage: Eukaryota > Metazoa > Chordata > Mammalia > Primates > Hominidae > Homo > Homo sapiens. Next base: position 86,801,795 of record NC_000013.11, read on the forward strand.
CCCACCTTGGCCTCCCAAAGTGCTGGGATTACAGGTGTGAGCCAATGCACCTGGCCCAGATCTGATGGTTTTAAAAAGGGAGAGTTTCCCTGCACAAGCTCTCTTCTCTTCTCTGCTACTGTGTGAGATGTGCCTTTCACCTTCCGCCATGATTGTGAGGCCTCCACATCCACAAGGAACTGTGAGTCCATTAAAGCTTGTTTTCTTCCCACTCTTGGGTATGTCTTTATCAGCAGCAAGAAAACGGACTAATACACTATATAATTGCATGCTACTTTTTTTATTTACAAATCTTTTGGCAATACAAATTTGTACAGGCCCTGTATTAGTCTGTTCTCACACTGCTATAAAGACATACCTGAGACTGGTTAATTTAAAGACAAGAGATTTAATTGACTCGCAGACTCATAGTTCTGCACAGCTGGGGATACCTCAGGAAACTTACAATCATGGCAGAAGGTGAAAGGGAAGCAGGCACATCTTTCCGTGGTCAAATAAGGGTGAGGGGTGCTACACACTTTCAAACAATCAATCTCATAAGAACTCTATCATGAGAATAGCAAGGGAGAAGTCTTCCCCTATGATTCAGTCACCTCCCACCTGGCCCCTCTTTCAACACTGAAGATTATAATTCAAAAAGAGATTTGTGTGGGAACACAGAGCCAAACCATATCATTCTGCCCCATCCCCTCCCAGATCGCATGTTTTTCTTATATCTCAAAACACACTCATGTTTTCCCAACAGTCCCTCAAAGTCTTAACTCATTTCTGCATTAACTCAAAAGTTCACAATCCAAAGTCTCATCTTGAACAACACAAGGCCCTTCTGCCTAAAAGCCTGTAAAATAAAAAAAAAAAAGTTAGTTACTTTCAAGTTACAATGAGGGTATAGTCATTTGGTATATGCTTGTATTCCAAAAGGGAGACATTGGCCAAAATAAGGGGCTACAGGCCCCATGCAAGTACGAAATCCAGCAGGTCTGTCATTAAATTCTGAAGCTCCAACACATAATCTCGTTTGACTTGATATCTCACATTCAGGCCACACTGATGCAAGAGGTGTGCTTTCACAGCCTTGGGCAGCTTTGCCCCTATTACTCTTCAGGACTCATCTCTCATGGCTGCTCACAAGAACTGGCACTGAGTACCTGTGGTTTTTTCAGGTACATGGTGGAGCCTGTCAGTGGAGCTACCATTCTGGGGTCTTGAGGACAGTGGCTGTCTCCTCAAAGGCCCACTAGACAATACCTCAGTGGGGACTCTGTGTGGGGGCTCCAACCCCATATTTCCCCTTTACACTGCCCTAGCAGAGGTTCTCCATGCAGGCTCTGCCCCTGCAGCAGACTTCTGACTGGATATCCCTGCATTTCCATACATCCTCTGAAATCTAGGTGAAGTCTCCCAAGCCTCAACTCTTGCCCTCTGCACAACTGCAGGCTTAACACCATGGGGAAGCCATCAAGGCTTGGGGCTTGCACCCTCTGAAGTAATGGCTCAAGCTGTATCTTGTCCCCTTTTAGGCATGGCTGGAGCTGAAGCAGCTGAGATGCCGGGCACCATGTCCCAAGGCAGCAAAGAACAGCAGGGCCCTGGGTCTGGTCCACACAACCATTTTTCCCTCCTAGGCCTCTAGGACTGTGATGGGAGGGGATGCTGCAAAGGTCTCTGAAATGCCTTGGAAGCATTTTCTCCATTGTCTTGGATATTAACATTTGGCTTCTCTTTATGCAAATTTCTGAAGTTGGCTTGAATTTCTCCTGATTTTTTTTTCTACCACATGGCAAGGCTGCAAATTTTCTAAATTTTATGCTCTGTTTCTCTTTTAAAGGTAAGTACTATTTGCTTATGCAAATGAGTGTAGCTTTTAGAAGCAGCCAGCTCACATCCTGAATGTTTTGCTGCTTAGAAATTTCTTCCATCACGTATCTTAAATCATCTCTCTCAAGTTCAAAGTTCAACAGGTTTCTATAGCAGGGGAACATTGCCACAAGTCTTGTTGCTAGAGCATAGCAAAAGTGACCCCTTCTCCATTCCCCAGTAAGTTCCTCATTTCCATTTAAGACATCCTTGGCCTCCACTTCACTGTCCATATAGCTATCAACATTTTGGTCACAATCATTCAACCAGTCTCTAGGAAGTTCCAGACTTTCCCTCATCTTCCTGTCTTCTTCTGAGCCCTCAAAACTATTTCACCTCTGGCCATTATTCAGTTCCAAAGCTGCTTCCACATTTTCAGGTATCTTTACAGCAATACCCTTCTGCTCTGGTACCAATCTTCTGTATTGGTCTGTTCTTATACTGCTGTAAAGACATACCTGTGACTGGGTAATTTATAAAGATAAGAGGTTGAATCAGCTCCTGTTCTGTGGGCTGTTCAGACTTCTGCTTTTGGGGTGGCCTCAGGAAACTTACAATCATGGTCAAAGTTGAAGAGGAAGAAGGTACATCATCACATGACCTGAGAAGGGGAGACAGAGAGAGAGAAGGAGGAGGTGGTACACAATTTCAAACAACCAGATCTTGTTAAAAACTCTATCATGAGAACAGCAAGGGGGAAATCCAATCCCGTGATTCAATTACCTCCCACGAAGACCCTCCTCCAATTCTGAGAATGAAAACTTGACATGATATTTGGGTGGGATAACAGAGCAAAACCATATCAGGCCCATTATAAATTTAAACAAGTAGTAGTATATATATATACACACACACTTTTTGACATGTTTTAGTACTGTCATCTGAAATAACAAGCAGTGGCTTATAAAGTTTATATATTTTTATAAATAAAAGTTTTAACTGATACATTTTCATCCTGTCAACAAAAGATCCAAAGGCTTTAAATTTATTAGTGGAGAAAATTGGAGATTACTTATTCTGGTCAGATTTGTTACTAGGAAAATCATCCTCCAGAAACACTGAGATATACTAGATAAAATAAAAACTTAACATACAGTAGGCTATACCATAGTCATGAATGTATAGGGATATTATTAATATCATTTCACTAAATTGTTCTATGTAATAAATGTGACACCAAAATCTAAACAATGTATGTAACAAACTGTCTAAAAAGTGTATATGAATAAAAAAGTCCTAATAGAACCAAGATATTTAAAGAGTTGTTTAAAATCTATGGCTTTCACAGTAAGACATTTACATTAATTATAAAACTATAATAATTAAAGCCATGTGTCATTGGCACAGGAAGAAATGCAGAAATGTATCTATATATAATTGGAAATTGGTATATCAATTCTTAGGTATGCTCCAAGTAATTTTATGTCACAATACTAGTGTTATTGCAGTAATTAAATCATAATTATGTAAACTCAACATGTAATTTAACAGAAGTCTTCTTCCTCACACTCAGCACTGCTCCACATTGAAAGCCTATAGTGAGAAAAAAATAAAAGGATATACTAGGCCATGTGCTTCTCCTTGTCTTCTCTTTGTCTAGGCCATTGAAAGCCTATAGTGAGAAAAATAGAAAGGATATACTAGGCTATGTGCTTCTCTTTGTCTTAACTACATAATCCCATTGTCTCTCTAGCCTAGGTTCAATATCATCCAACTAGGTAACAGTTGCAGGGAAGTAGGAAGTTTTATTGGTGAGTAGATTTGTAATCCCACAATGAAACCTTTTTGGATGTGTAGACTGACAACTGCTGACTTTTTGCTTTTGGTCACTTTTTGTGACTTGAGAATTTTTGGATGATGCAGGTAGTCTGAATTTGAAACACAAATGCATTTGTAGGCTAGTCTATGGTAACATATTCCTAGCCAAGAATTTGTTCCCTTCACTCAGCACTAGTTTTCCAGGAGACAGAATCTCTTTATAAGCCATATTGCAAGATGAATTCATATCTAATTCATCCTAATATGATTGTGTAGACTTTTGTGATCCATGTTTCCATGTGAAAGTTTTTATTTGACACTGAACTTTGGGCGAGATCTAGAATTGACTCTTTCTTCCATAATTTCTAGTGGTCTTCAAAAGAGAAACATATTCTTTAGTGTAAAGCAAATGTTTCAAAGGTAAAATGAAGGTTAGAACTACGTGTCCCCTCAGCATTCACAATCACATTTTTATTTTTATTTTGGCTTCTGAGAATCTTTACTTTTGGGCTCTAAGAATTTTTATGTATCTATTTGCCAGGTGTTTTCTCTCTCTCTCTGTCTTTCACTTTTCTTCCATCCCTCCCTTCTTCTCTTTTCCTGTCTTCATCGCTACATCTGTCATCAACCTACTACATTTTAATTATATTTAGTGACGATGTTTGTGATAAAATTAACAGGGTGATTCTAAATGATATGGAATTCTTTTGCTCTGTTGCCATAATACATTTTGGAATCAATCTAGATTCTAACAATAGATTCAGATAATAATTCATATTTGAACTTATTATTTATGAATATTCTAAAAGATATATGTGATAGGATAAATCAATGCTGGCTAAACACTATTTTAAATTCAACTCTTTTCTCTTTTTCTGTATAATTTCATCCACTCTTGAAGTAAGAAAATAACATGTTCATTTTTCATTTTCAAGAAATTTGAGTAAAATTACATAGAGACAGATTTGAATAAGAGTACATGTTCAATGTTTTGAGAAGTGCCACGTTTAAGTTAGCAAATGTTGGGAAAGGTAATTCTGAAAATCACAGTACTCTTATACACTTGGTTAGACTATTATAAAAGACTAGAACTCTCCTCCCACAAAATTATACTTCAGATTTTCTTTGTTCATGGCCTTAAAAACAACCGTGTAATCAGTGCCAGATTTTTCAAATCAGCCTATTTGTTACAAACTAGGCAAAGGGCAATTATTTATACTAGTAAATGGTTAAAAATGACTATTTCTATACTTAGTAATACTGATATCAAGTTCTACACCATCCCTAAATTTTAGTAATGTAGCCAACCTATAAGACTATCCTTAATCCCATGATACGAAGAGGTCTTGGAGAATGAATAACAAGTTTGTTTGTGAAAATTAAAATATGCTTCATTTGGTTTATTCAGGACAATAGGATGTGTGACAGATTAAATGATCTATATAGCCCCAAAACACTAAATTAGCTTGCAGCAATGTAGCCTGATTGCTCAGCATTGCTCAGATCCTTGACTCTGCTTTAAAGCTTAAAAACAAATTTCATTATCTACTCAATTATGGTGCAAACATTGCTGATCTGATGCCATGATAAACTAAACCTTGTTCATTAATATCTCATGGCTTGTCAAACATCACATTATAGTGTATAAGCACAATGAATTTCATGTCAACTCATTGCTCTCTTCATAGAAGGATTAAGAATGTGGACTAACTATATGAAAAGATAGCATTGTTGTCACAGATTTGGTGTGTTTTCTTATTCTTATGCTTTTGGGTTAGAAAGTAGAGAATGGTTAGATTTGGAGAATCAGAGAAAATGTCATCAACCAAGCTGCTTTGACTTTCTCCTGCTTTTGACTTTTTACCTCCCAACCTTTATCACGTAGGACTGTTTTTAATAATTTTATGTTGTTATTAGATTAATATTTTAATTTTATATTTCAAGCAAATTAAAAGAAACTCAGAGTTATTCAATTGGAATGAAAAGGCAAATTAAATGAGAAATTGATCATTCTTTTCATGATAGCAGAAGAAAGCAAAACTATGAAGATGGTGATCTATGATATTATAAGGTTTTCCTCTCTCTTTTTGCTTTAGGTAAGAATCCAGGCACAAAGTTCATGACTCATTTATCATTTTTTCTTATATGTGGCTGTTAATTTACTCTGGTACTATATTAACAAATGATAGTATCTAATGTTTATTTGTATTCTAAAAGTTTAAGAATTGAAAATTTTGATTCAATATAAAAATGAAGGAGAGCTTTTGAAACAACAGGCCCAATCAATAGTATTAAGTACACCCTCCCCATATATAACAAGGTAAAAGTCTGTGAATCAAAACATGAGTGGGTTTACACAGACTGAGAGAAAATCTTCACAATCTATACATCGGACAAAAAACAATATCCAGAATCTATAAAAAACTCAAATCAGCAAGGAAAAAAAAAAAAAACAATTCCATCAAAAAGTGGGCTAAGGACATGAATAGACCATTCTCAAAAGAAGATATACAAATGGCCAACAAGCATATGGAAAAATGCTCAAATTCACTAATTATCAGGGAAATGCAAACCCAAACCACAATGTGATACCACTTTATTCCTGCAAGAATGGCCATAATCAAAAAATCAAAAAACAATAGATGTTGGTGTGGATGCATTGAAATGGGAACACTTTTATACTGTTGGTGGGAATATAAACTAGGACAAACACTATGGAAAACAGTCTGGAGACTCCTTAAAGAACTAAAAGTAGACCTACAGTTTGATCCAGCAATCCCACTACTAGGTCTCTACCCAGAGGAAAAGAAGTCATTATACATAAAAGATACTTCCACACACATATTTATAGCAATACAATTTGCAATTGCAAAAATATGGAACCAGCCCAAATGCCCATTAATCAACAAGTAGATAAGAAAATGTGATAGATAGATAGATAGATAGAATGTGAATGCCATTATTTTGTTCCTTTTCATGGCTGAGTAGAGTGTGTGTATATACATATATATAAAATATATAATATTTTATATATAATGTATAATATATATTTTATAATAAAAATAAAATTATATATTTTACAATAAATATATATTTATATAATAAATATAAAAATATAATAAATATATTGTATATATTATATATAAATATTATATAGATATACACTGAGTAGTGCATTTATATCTATATCTATCTATATCTAAATCTATCTATCTAGCAACTTGGATGGAATTGGAGATTATTCTAAGTGAAGTAACTCAAGAATGGAAAACCAAACATTGCATGTTCTCACTCATATGTGGGAGCTAGGCTATGAGGATGCAAAAGAATAAGAATGATACATTGGAATTTGGGGGCTTGAGGGAAAGGGTAGGGAGTAGTATGGGATAAAACACTACACACTAAGTGCAATGTACACTGCTCGGGTGATGGGTGCACCAAAACCTCAGAAATCCCCACTAAAGAACTTATTCATGTAACCAAAAACCAACTGTTCCCCAAAAACCTATGAAAATAAATTAAAAAATTGAATAAAACAAAACAAAACGTGAGTGAGTTTAATTTTTAAAGCACCATGAACATCCTGCATATGGAAAGAGATTCCATTAGATGATTTCAATTATATTAACTTTTTAAATTTGTTCCATGTCGCTCTTCTTTTATTTATGTGAATTAAATTTTCTGGCTGAATCATTTTCCTTCTACCTGAATAACTGTTTTAACTTTTTTTTTTCTTTTTTGCAGAGCAAATTTGCTAGTGATGAATTACCCCAGTTTTTGTTTATATGAGAAAGCATTTATTTCTCCTTTATATTTAAAAGAATATTATACTAGGTATAGTAGTGTAGCATGGCATTTTGTTTTGTTTTCCTTGAACATTAAATATTTTGTTCTACTTCCTTCTTGCTTCCATGGTATCTGAACACAAGTCTACTGTAATACATATTTTTGTTTCTTTATAAATTTGTACATTCTTTCTTTCCTCTGGCTTCTTTCAGTATTTTCTCTTCATCTTTAATTTTCTGCAGTTTAAACATGCAATTTCCAAATGTGGGGTGTTAAGGTGTTTATTCTGCTTGGTATTCTCTGAGATTCTTATATCTGGTTTGGTTAACTATTATTAATATTGTAAGGTTCTCAGTCATTATTACTTCAAATATTTGTTTCTTGTCTATTCTCTTTTTCTTCTTGTATTCCAATTACATATGTGTTATGGATTTAGATATTGTTCAACAATATCTATTGATATTATGTTATATTCTGAATATTCTGTTCTATTTTTTCATATTTTTTTTCTTTTTGCATTTCAGTTATAATATTTCAATTGACTTATTTTCAGAGTCGATGATTCTTTCCTAGGTAGTGTCCAGTATACTGATCACCCCATGAATGCTAATTTGTATTTCCATTGTAAGATTTTTTATTTCTAGAGTTTCATTTTAGTACTTTCATACCTTATTCCTCTTTCTGAGTACATTCCCCATCTCTTCTTGCATGATATCTGCTTTTCACATCCATCACATTTATTTTAAATTTTTTGTCTAACATGACTAATAGCTATGCCTTTTGACCTGCCTTGCAATTTTTTTGTTGAAACCTAGATATGTCATATCAGGTAATAGAAACTGAGATAAAGAGACTTCCAGTGTGAGGACTTATGTTAATCTAAGTAGGAATGGAGCTGTTTTTGATGTTTGTTGTTGCTACAGGTATCAGATGCTACAATTCTTTCAGTGCCTTTGTTTTTGTCTTTCCTCTTGTTTGGGGGCTTTCCTGAGTAATTCTTCTTAGAGAGAGTCCACACTTTGCAAGACTTTCAGCTCTAATTCACTTTTATTGTAATGGAGCCCTACTGATGCGACAGTAGCATGTGCAGAAGGAGGATTATTCCATAATCTTCTGAATACATTTAATCCTTTGGCCAATCTATATCTTAAGACTATGGCTTTGGGAAGTGCTTTTATTCAGTGGTAAAGCACTTTCTTTTTCTTTTTCCCCCACTGCTTCTTAGTTTGACTTCAGTTTCCAAATATATTTTCTTGAACTCCTGTTCCAAACTGAATATATTCCCCCTTTCTCCTCCAAGTGAGACAGAAAAGCTGAGGAACTGGAGACAAAAGATATTTCTTTCACAGTTGTGTTCTGGTGAAGTCATTTCCCCGGAGAATAACACTTCATTATAGAGACAACTCTTTGAATGTTTCACAATGATACTCTTCTCTTCCTTTTTCCAGAGTGACAAAGGGATCTTTCTGGGCCCTTCACCATTAAAACCTGGTGGAGATTCTGGGGGTAAAGCTCATGAAAGTATGCAAACCCTCTAAGATTAAGCTTTCAGGAGTTTCTCACTCTCAACTCAGTGTACACCCAAACTTTTGTAGGTTGAAACTCAAACTCCATAAAATTTGTGAAATTATAATATAAATGCTTCTACCATTTTATGGCTTTAGTGACTTTTGCTACAGAGCTCCTGTTTATCTCCAGATGTGCTTGTCTCTTCAAACTTGGGGATGATGGTTTACTCTGTGACTTCAGTTCTGTCGTGGACCAGAAAAGTCATTGATTTTTCACATTGTCTATTTTTTCTTGTTGTAAGGACAAGAGTGATTGCTTCCAAACTTCTTACATGTCAGAAGTGAAACAGAAACATTGTTTTGTCTACTGTGATTACTAAACAAAACAAAAAACAGGAGCAGATAATTTGAATGCATTTGCTGCTAAATAAAAGCATGTATTTATCTTCTTGTGTCCTTACTCTCACTTGATTTTACAGATACTTTATAGATAAAATTAAGATAAATTTTATTGTTAAAATACATAGATCTGAATATTACAGGGAAAGTCTGAGTAGACCAGCACAGCTGCAACCCATACTTTTGTTTATATTAATTTTATGTGGAACAAACCAATTTTTATTACATTTTGAAACCCCAGAATAGCACTATGTTTATCAACTACAGCAACTGATTGACTCATTGGAGATTACTATACATATATATATATATATATATTTCTATGGAAACTAGTACCTAGGAAGTAAAGAAAATTAGCTAAAATATGCCTGTATTGTTCTGCTATTGAAGTAGAAATTTGAGTTGGAATAAATATGTTAAAAATGTGCCCTGATGAAGAATTATTTTAAAAAGATAGAATAAAAGTAAAGAGTGGTTTTTGGGAAATGACAAAAATTAATAAAAATATATTACCAACTGTAATTATTTCCAGATTATTATGACAGAAAAATATATGAGCCACTGCACCCGGCCATACCATTCTATATTTTTTTAAAAATCCATGTAAGATAATTAGTGATATTTTTCCAAAGTTTTAAAAAATCTTTATTATTTATTTTTTCTGAATTTTGGGGGGACATACTAGGTATAAATATTTATGGGGTACATGAAATATTTTGATTCAGGCAAACAATGTGAAATAAGCACATCATGGAGAATGGAATATGCATCCCCCCCAGCAATTATCCATTGAGTTGCAAACAACTCTATTACACTCTTTATTTTAAAATGTACAGTTAAATTATTATTGAATATAGTCACTCTGTTGTGCTATCAAATAGTAGGTCTTGTTTATTCATTTTTTTTTTTCGGTATCCATTAAACCTCCCCACCTTCCCACAACTCCCCATTACACTTTCCAGCCTCTAGTAACCACCCTTCTACTCTCTATGTCCATGAATTCAGTCGTTCTGATTTTTAGATCCCACAAATAAGTGAGAACATGCAGTATTTGTCTTTCTGTGCCTGGTTTATTTCACTTAAGCTAATGATCTCCAGTTCCACCCATGTTGGTGCCAATGAGTGAATCTCATTCTTTCTTATGGCTGAATAGTACACCATTGTGTATCTGTACCACATTGTCTTTATCCAGTCATCTGTTGATGGACACTGATGTTGCTTCCAAATCTTGGCGATTTTGAATGGTGCTGCAACAAACATGGTAGTTCAGATACCTCTTTGATATACTGATTTCCTTTATTTGGATATATACCAAGGGGTGGGATTGATGGATCATATGGTAGCTCAATTTTTAGTTATTTGAGAAACCACCATACTGTTCTTCATAGTGGCTTTACTAATTAATTTACATTCCCACCAACAGCTTACAAGTGTTCTCAATTTTCCACATCCTCACCAGCATTTGTTATTGCCTGTCTTTTGAATAGAAGCTGTTTCAGCTGGTGTGAGATGATATCTCATTGTAGTTTTGATTTGCATTTCTTTTATGATCAGTAACATTAAGGACCTTTTCATATGCTTGTTTTCCATTTGTATGTCTTCTTTTGAGAAATGTCTATTTTAATATTTTACTCATCTTTTGATTGCATCATTAAATTTTTTCCTATAGAGTTTTCTGAGATCTTTATATATTTGGTTATTAAGCAATAATTAATGGTACTTTTACAATATTATTGTCCTTATAAAAAATAAATTTGTTAGGCTTTTATATACAAATTTTCCATGCTTAAACTAGATACAAACTTTGTAGACCCAAGTGAAAAGAATCTGATTGTATAAGTACTAATAATTATAAACAAAACTCACAAAATTTCTGACTTCACAGAACAAACAGAACTTTTAAATTTTAATTATTTTCATCTACTATTGTTTGTATCTTAAATCAATTTCTCTCTTCTTTCTTTACAGAAGCTTAAAGTATATAGTGTTATCTAAATATTTCGCACAATTACCCAGATGTAGACTAACCCAATCAGACAAATCATCTTTTTACTTTAGGGGCATGTTAATTGAAAAGGCGTTAATAATTAAGCTAGATAATCCAAAGAAACTTTTGCTTGAAATGCTGCTTCAAATATGCTTTTCAAGGTCATGGTGAAATATCTGAGTATCTCACGGTGTTCACTTCTATCTTGAGACCATAAAACTTGCTGCTGTGATTTGAGCATTTGTTTTCCAAATGTCAAGTTGAAATTTGATCCTCAGTGTTGTGGTGTAGGAAGGTGGGGCTGAGCAGGTGGAGTCTGGCTCATAGGGAATAATCCCTTGGTGTCATCCTCACAGTAATGAGAGAGTTTTCACTATTAGTTCCCAGGATAACTGACTGTTAAAAAGAGCCTGGCTACCTCCCACCCATCTCCCTCTTGCTTCCTCTCTTGCTATGTGATCTCTGCACATGTCACCTCTCCTTCATGTTCTACCATGAGTGGAAATGGCCTTAGGTCCCCACCGGAAGCAGATGCTGGTGCCCTGCTGCATGTACAGCTTACAGAACTGTGAGCCAAATAAACCTCTTTTTTAAATGAATTACCCAGCCTTGGGTATTCTTTTATAGCAACACAAAATATTAAAGTATTAAAATTATCTTTAACTCATTATTAATAGAGGAATGGATTAGGTGTTTACAGCATATTTAAAGGAGAATGCAAAGAGCAAACACATTTATATATCAAGTATATTAAAATAAATTACAAATGCCTGCCACACTGGCTTTTTTCTAAGTTTGGGAGATGGAAAGTAAGTCTCTTTACAGGATAAAAATGTTTGCATATGACTTGCCATTGTTTTCTTCAGTATAACTTGCTTTAAAATATCCCAAAGTCAATGAAAGGATAGAAATGGCTAAGCCAGGAGGGTATTCTTGCTCCAAACAATGATCAGTTTTCCACTGAGACATTGTACATGGAAATAAAAATTATTTTAACAATTTATAAAGGTATAAGGGACCATTTTCCCTTTGTTCTTCATTTTTTTGTAGTGTTTCCTTGGAGACAGTGAATCTGACTCTAACATTTGACGTGAAGATAAATCTCTTTAGGAATTATTCCCAGGCCCTGGTTTTTACAAAGTTGATTTATTGCCAAGTTTGCAGGTCAAATAATCTCTGAATATATAAACATGTTCTACCAGAATTAGCTCAGATGTCTCTTAGTACAAAAGACTATCAGGAGGTGCAGACTGTCTGTATCTTGAAGAGATAAGAGAAGTTTTCATTGTTCTTTATTCTGCTTTACTACTTAAATTTGTGTGATACTCTATACATTTTTGTATTTGCTTTCATGCTCTCATACATGAATGTAAATCAGTTAACCTTTATTCAGTAATAAATTGTTTTTCTGTCTCTTTTCTATGCTGCTATAGAGGGGTTCTTTGTTGGCAGGTGCGTTTTATTTTCCTGATAAAACTCAGTAATCATTTTTGCATACTTTACACTTTCTTATATTTCTCAGTTGACACATATGCTCTAGGTATTATCATTATTTTTATTTTTTCAATTTTTATTTATTCATTTATTTTGTGACAGGATCTCACTCTGTCACCCTGGCTGGAGTGCAGTGGTGTGATCATGATTCACTGCGACCTCCATCTGCTGGGCTTAAGTGATCCTCCCTCCACAACCTCCCCAGCAGCTAGGACTACAGTTGTGCATTATCACACCCAGCTAATTTGTGTTTAATAATTTGTAGAGATGGAGTCTCCCTATGTTGCCCAGACTGGTCTAGAACTCTGGGCTCAAGGGATCCTCCCTCTTAGGCCTTCCAAAGTGCTGGGATTACAGGTGTGAGCCACTCCACCTGGGTAGCATTATAATTCTTTAAGTGTCTTTAAAAACAAGATAAAGATTCGGAGAAGTATACATGGATCCACTTTAGCTAAATTCTTATTGTGAAATAGTTCTTTAAAAGTTAATTTACCCTCAGGTTATTTTTTATTAATAATATTCTTATTTATACATAATTTTCTTGTTAGGTAGCTTAAAACTATTCCCTCTAATTAAGATATTTAAATATATTTATCCAGAAATATACATACTAAACTCCTATATCTTACATCTTTTTTCTAGTCCCTAATGATTTGTTTACAAAAATTACCAAACATTTTATTTGACTTTCACTAACTTCTTTATATCATTTATACTTTAAAATAAAGTACCTACCTATCCTTACTTGGAAATTTTCACTTTTAAATTTTTTTCTGAATAATTACTTTATACTCATCCCTTTCAAATTTATTAAGTTGAATGTTCAGTTGCCTATTATTAATGTTAAATGGAGAGCATATTTAGATATTTTTTCTAGGAAACTATTTTTTTTTCAAAAATTAAAATAATTTTTTTGGAGAGAAAACGGGGTGAGCTGGCTAAATAGAACTCTCCAGTGAACATCACCCCGTAGGAACACCAAATCGAACAACTCTCCCGACAAGAAAGCACCTTCATATGAACCAAAAATTGCTTGAATGACAACAGTATCTGGTTTTAACATTATATCAAGAAAAGAGGCAATGAAGATGGTAGGAAAGACAGTCTTGAATTGCTGACACCACCTTTCCCCCATCCTCCAACACACAGTGTGGTGAGGAGAGAGAATCTTGTGCTTGGGAAGGGAGAGTGCTGTGATTGTGGGACCTTGCATTGGAACTCATCACTGCCCTGTCACAGTGGAAAGCAACACAAGGCAGAAGTTGCCTGGGACTCATAGAGGAAGCATTTAGATCAGCCCTATATGGAAATCATTGATCTCAGGGCTCAGAACATGAGTTTTTGCAAGCCTTGCCACCATAGGCTATAGTACTCTGGGGTTTTAAGTAAATATGAAGGGCAGTCTAGGACACAAGTTAAAATAGCTTATATCCAAAAGACAGGCAATAACAATGCTACTAAGGATGTGGAGAAAGGGGAAACCCCGTACACTTTGGTGGCAATATAAATTAGTAAAGCCACTATGGAGAACAGTATGGAGGTTCCTCTAAAAACTAAAAATAGAACTACCATATGATCCGGCAATCCCACTACTAGGTATATACCCCAAAGAAAGAAAATCGGTATATCAAAGATAGTATATGCACCCTCTTGTTTATTGCAGCACTGTTCACAATAGACAAGAGTTGGAAGCAACCTCTGTGACCATCAGCAGAGGAATAAATAAAGAAAATGGGATTCTTCTACACAAAGAGTACTAATCAGCCATAAACAAGAATAGGATCCTGTCATTTGTAACAACATGTATGGAATCAGAGCATATTGTGTTAAGTGAAATAAGCCAGGCACAGAAAGACACTCTTCTTCCCATGTTCTCATTCATTTTGGGGGGCTAAAAATTTAAAAAAATTGAACTCGTGGAGATAGAGAGTAGAATGGTGGTTGTCACAGGCTGGGTGAGTAGTACAGAGAGCGGGACAACCGGGATAGTTAATGGGTACAAAATATGGTTAGAATGAATAAGATCTAATATTTTATAGCACAACAGGATGACTACAGTCAGCAATAATTTGTTGTACATTTTGAATAACTAAAGAAGTACAGTTAGATTGTAACACTAAGAAATTAGAAATTATGAATGCTTGGGGTGTCAAATAGCTCATTTACTCTGATGTGATTATTACACATTGTATACTTGTATCAAAATATCTCATGTGCCGCATAAATATATAAACCTACTATGTACCTGTAAGTTTTTTTAAGCCAACTTAAAAAATGCTTTAAAAGTGTACCAACAAATTTTATAAGCAATATTATTCAATAGTCATCTGGTAAAACAACCTGTAATTATTATTTGGTGTTCATGCACAACTACGTAAAAGTTCTTCTTTCTTTAATTAAAAAAAACTCTAATATGTGCATGTTTTCAGTTCAAATGTTTTATTACATTCTGGGACAATTGCCTTGACATGATAAAACATGGCCTCAGATATTTTATATTTTTTACATTTGTTGATATTTTGGGGAAGGAAATGTATACTTCATTTGTTAATTAATTTTTAAAAAATTATTAGTCTGTATTTGTTGGAAACCATATCCTATATGTAACTTGAAATCAAAATAAATAATGACATTAGTTCTAATCAGTACTTCTGAATTTGTTTTAATTTTAAAATGTCATTTATAGCAAGTGTTTTGGGTTAAAATATCTTATTGATATGGTGAGTCTGTCAAATGTCCTTCATATTCATTTTTAAAAATTTAAATTTTTATATATAAATGTATATATATCCAATATAACCTGAAAATTAAACATTAATGAGAGCTATAGCTGATAGGTATATTAAGGAAGCTTTGATAACATAAATTGCTTGCCTGCCATTTAACAATTTTTGAAATGAATTATTGTCTGAATAGTTTCAATATATGTTTTATTTTATGAATTTAACAAAATTCTTTTTTCTTGATTTAGCTAATTTTAATAGAGTGTTTTCTTATCAAACATTTACTTATCTTCTAAAACTCCATTCTTGCAAACTGTTTGGAGGGATTTGTTTTTATTTTTATTTTGTAGTATAGCTCATGTATCTAGAATAACTTGTTATGTTTGTTATTTCATCATCATAAATTGGCTTATATTTCATATGCTTGCAGACATATAGAATAATCGAAAACAACAAAATTATATGTATATACATATGCATACACACATATGTAAAATGTGAATGTTTTTTATGTTTTGCCTTTTATTACACGTTCTGCCTTTTATTACATGTTTTGCCTTTTATTAAATCTCACTTTGCTCTTCCTCATTCTTTTCGGGGAGACATACTTTTTCTTTTAAATTCTACTACTGGCTCCTTACAAAATTAACTATCCTTTAAAGTTTATTTATTAAATTTATAGAGTCAAGTTTGAAAAATTGTTTTATTTCATCCTTTATGCAACAAGGTATTTATTATACTTTTATTTTTCATCATCTGTGAATATTTAGAGCCAAATTTTTATGGTCTTTGTGGTTTTATTCTTGCTATATTATCTCTGTCTGGAATATTTATTTATGTATATATTTATTAAATAAGATTTACATAAAAGGTTGAGCCATTTATTTTAGAATTAATTCAAAGCTCTTTGGATGTAATTTTATTCTAAGGCTTTGTTATTCTTAAGTTCTTAATTTTAATTCCTATCACTGTGATTTAGAATAAAGTGATATTTCTTCAATAATTGAAAACTCTGTCAGGCATGGTTTCTTTTTATTGAAATTTGCCCAGAATATAGTATACCCTATGAATCTTCATAAATATATATTTCAACCTAAGATATTTATTTATTTTTATTAACATAATAATATACATACCTTTAGGATAAAATATTACCAGGAAGCTTTAAAATAAAATACAGCAGCCATTTGTTGTACTCTTCTATTTTTGCTATGCAGATAATACATTATTTGATATTTTTACATTCCTTGTAACTTTTACTTCTATATTTCAAATAATATATTTGATAATTGTTCCTTGTGCTTTGAATTCTTAACCATATTGACTGCAAACAGTAAGTAACAGGCAGTATCTCTGAAACCATCCAATGTTGTTTCTCACCTATAAAAAAAATTTCCTTATATTTAATTATTTATTTACTGTAGCAATCACTAAATCATCACCAAAATGCTTAATATACAGTGTCTTTAGCATAGTGTAAATTATCTATAAACCTCATGATTTTTTGAAAAGATGTTTACTGTACCTCTTTAGCCTCTTGTTTCATTTGAGACTTTTATTATTAGCACAGCTGAGGTTTGCCAACCTAAAGCAAGCTCAAACCCCAGAAGTGCGGCAGTAAACTCACCAGGAGGGGCAAAAACTACGACTTGAGTTTCACTCCTAACCAGATATCTTAACAACCACAATTCTTTTTATCTCAGAAGAAATATAAGTTCAAACAAATAAATTATTTGTCATGTAATTAAAAGCAAGCACAGTGAACATCTCAAGGTAATCCAACCTGATATTGAAATAATGAAGCAAGAATAATTTTATAAAGAACTAATCAGAGATTCAAAAAATAGACAAATAGGAATTGGTATAAAAAACTCAGTGGATGATTTGAGAACAGAAGGGTTGCCAAAAATAAATTAATAATCTCGAAGATAGTTGGAGAATCTTATCTGGATGATATCAATAAGGAAAAAAGATGGAAGAACTTAACTAAAAAACAAATTTGGGAGAAGTATATATCACAAAAATAGGTATGAAATAGGTCAACTGCATTCCAAAACTTTTGCCTATTAAAAATCATCTCTCATCTGCGGTGGACATGTCTTCACATATCTCCCTCACCCAGGAACGGCCACTGTCGCCCTGCTTCAATAAAGGCGCTGCCATATCTTCCAGCCCCCTGGGTGCCTAATCCTGGAGCCATGGCAAGCTCTACAGTGCTCAAACTCTAAACACAGGCTCTGTGGCCACACTAGGCTTACCCACATCTTAGGTATTGCAACAATCATCACAGTGAGCTAATTTGCACTCCGAGCTCTGGAACCAAGCTCTTGCTACAAGTGACTGTGCTCCAGACATTGGCTCAGCTGCCATAGAGAGCTAGGCCCCACCCTTCCCAATATTGGAGCCACTGTAAACATGTGTACACCTATGTTCCCATACTCAGCTTCCTGGCTACTTCACAGGCAACTGTGCTTCACAAACGGTTACCAAAGTGACAGCAGGATGCCTGCACCCAATTACCAGCACAGCTGCCCTAGACAGCTTGGCTCTGTCTCCAATCCCATAGCCACTCTTAACTCTGTGAATGCCCACACTCTCAATGCCCTGATTACTTCACAAGCATTTATACCTTGCATTCTATTACCAACAGAGCAGCATGGGTGTCTATATCCCAAGCACCAATGCCATTACTACTGCAAATCCCAGAGCCATAGGCTTTCTATGCATACCCATGCTTCAGGTCTTAACTGTGTGGCTGCTCTATAAGCAGCATTCATTCATCAGACACTAATGCTGCCTCCACAATGATCAGGCCCACAAGCCAGATCAGTGTTAAGAGAAATGACCCCTCTTAGACACAACTTTGCTAGTGAAAGGAAAAGAGACCAAAGGTACCTTAGCAGTCATCACCACCAAAGACTCTAACAACTCTCACAGTCACTGTGAATATCCATAGCATTTGTGATTGAAGATTCCTACAAACTCTGTTTATACCACCTCAGTTCACAGAGCTGCAGAGACACCATAAAGGGACTCCCTTACTGGTGCTAGAACTGCTGCATCCCACCTTGAAAATGTCTTCACACCTCCAATAGGGAAAAATCTTCCTCAACAAAACTGGTCCATCATGTCTGCAAAAGGTGACAGCTCCACCAAATATGCAGACATCAACATAAGGCAACAAAACATGAAAAAACCAAGGAGACATAAAACTACCAAAAGAACCTAATCTCCAAAAGAACCCAATAATCTCCCAGTACCTAACTCAAAGAAATGAATATAAACTACCCACCAGGAATTCAAACTAAATGTTTTAGGAAAGCTCGGGGCCATCAAGACAACACAGTGAAAAAATTAATTGGTATCAAAGAAAAAATAAATGACCAAAACTAGAAACTTAACAGAGATTGAAATTATATTAGAAAATCAAAAATTCTGGAACTGAAAAATACAATGAATAAAATGAAAAAATGCAATACAGGGTCTCAATAGCAGAATTGGTAATTGGAAGAAAGAATCTGTAAAGTCAAATACAAGTTCTTAGACAGTATACAGCCAGAGGAGAGAAGAGAAAAAATATAAGAAGAAATAAGGAAGGCTTACAGAAAGCTTACAGAATTCATGAGACATCATCAAAAGAGCAAATATGAGTTCACATAGGAAAAGAGAAAAAATGGTGGAAAGATTAAGAAAAAGTAGCAAAAAACTTTCTAAATCTTGGAAATCCTAGAAATATTTAGGAATTGGAAGCTTAAAGGTCTCCAGTAAGACTAAATTTAAACAAGATTAGTACGAATTATAATCAAACTGTCAAAAATCAGAGACAAAGAGAGGATTGTGAAATTGCCAATAGAAAAGAAGCAAATCACATATAAGAAATTTTCAATAGGGCTAGTAGCAGATTTTCAGCAGAAACTTTACAGACCAGGAGAGGGTGGTATGTCATATTACAGTGCTGAAAACAAAAACAAAAACAAAAACAGTTTACCTGGCAGAGCTGCCCTTTAGAAATGAAGAAGAAATAAAGTCGGTTCCAGACAAACAAAAACTGAGGGAGCTTTTCAATCTCAGACCTGTTTTATAAGATATGCTTGAGGTAATTATTTAAGCTAAAAAGAAATAAAAGGGAAGAATGATAATTAGTAACGTAAATATATATGAAAGTATAAAACTCACTGGTAAAGGTAAGTATATAGTCAAATTCAGAATACTCTAATACTGTAATTGTAGTGTGTAAAAATCAATTATATTTAGTATAAAGGTTAAAAGACAAAATAAAAATAATAGCTACAGTAATTTTTAAGGGTTATACAATATAAAAAGTTGTAAATTGTGACATCAAAAACATAAAATGTGTGTGTGGGAAGAGTAAAGTAATGGAGTTATTTTATGAGATTAAAGTTTACTTGTTATCAGCTTAAATAGCCTATTAAAATTACATTTCCTGAAAGCCTCATGGTAACTATACAGCAAAACCTAAAATAGATACAAAAAAGTTAAAAAGTAAGGAATCAAAGCATACTACCAGAGAAAATCACATCACAAATGAAAGCAGGGAGAGAGAAAAACAGGAACAAAGGATCTACAACACTACCAGAAAACAATTAACAAAATGACACTAAGTCTTTAGCTATCAATAATTACCTTGAATGTAAATAGATCGCATTTCCCAATCAAAAGGCATAGGCTGAATAGATTTGAAAAACACACATAGAAGCAATAACCACTATAAACAACAACAAGACCCAAACAGGACCTCTTTATATACTGTCCATAAGAAACTCACTTCCTCTGTAAGAGCAAACGTAGAATGAAAGTAAAACAATGGAAACATATTTTCCATGCATGTGGAAACCAGAGCAGAGCAGGAGTAGCTATACTCATGTCAAATAAAATAGACTTCCAGTCAAACACTATAAAATGAGATAAAGAGGTTATTATAGAATGCTTATGAGATCAATTCATCAAGAATATATAACATATAAATCTATATGTATCCAACATCAGAGCACCTTAACATTAAAACCAAATATTAATAGATCTGAAGAGAGAGATATACTGCAATACAATATTAGTAGGGAACCAACACTCAATTTCTGAAATAAAAAGATCATCCAGAAAGAAAATCAATAAGGAAACACTAGACTTGGACAACACTTTAGATCAAATGGACCTAATGAACCTATACTAATCATTCTGCCAGCAGCAGCAGAATAAAAATTCTTCTCAAGCACACATAGAATATTCTCCTGGATAGATCATATGTTAAGCCACAAAATAAGTCTTAACAAATTTCTAAAAAATGAAATCATATTGTTTCCTTTTTAACCACAATGGAGTAAAACTAGAAATCAATCATAGGAAAAATTTGGAAAAATTTACCTGTATCTGAAAATTAAACAACATGCTTCTGTACAACCAATGGATTAAACAAGAAATCCAACAGGAAATTTTTAAATGTCTTGAGACAAATGAAAATGGTAATGCAACATGTTAAAATGTATGGGATGCAGTAAAATTTGTTCTGAGGGAACTAATGGATATTTATGCCAATAAATGTCTACATCAAAAAAGAAAATGTTCCCAAATAAACAATCTAGCATTACAGCTCAAGGGACTAAAGAAAAGCAAATTAATAATAAGGAAGAATATAATAAAAATCAAAGCAGAAATAAATGAAATAGAGGCTAGAAAAACAATAGAAAAGGTCAACAAAACGGAATTGGTTTTTGAAAAGATTAAACAAACTGACAATTTTTAGTTACACTAAGAGAGAAGACTCAAAAGCAAACATCAGAAATGAAAGGGGAGATATTACAGCTAATATGGGTGAGTAGCACATAAATACAAAGGATTGTGCAACAACTTTGAGCAATTTTATGCCAACAAATTTGATAACCTGAAAGAAATTGTGAGACACACACAATTTACCAAAACTGAATTACGAAGACGTAGAAAATTTGAACAGACCATGAATGAGCAGGAAGATTAAAACAATAATTAAAAAATCTTTCATCAAGGAGAAGCCCTGGACCTCATGGCTTCAATGGTAAATTATACAAAACATTTAAGGGAGAACTAATGCCAATCTGTCTCAAACTCTTCCAAAAAATAGAAGAGAGAATACTCATAAACTCGCTTTGTGAGACCAGCATTCCATGATAACAAACCATTCCATGATAAGAAAGCCAGATGAGGACACTATAAGAAATGAAAATTACAGGCCAGTATTCTTGATAAGCATAGATTCAAATATTTTTGACAAAATACAAGCAAATTGAATTCAAGAATACATTGAATGAATAATTCACCATATTAAGAGAAATGTATCTGTAGGAAGTAAAGATGGTTCAGCATCATGGATCTATAAATGTGAAACACCACACTAACTGAATGAAGAATAAAAACCATATGGTCACTTCAATAGATGCAGAAAAGCAGCTGGGCAAAATTCAACATTTTTCCATGATAAAGCCTCAACAAATTAGTTTTAGAAGGTGTGTACTTCAATACAATAAAGAACATATCTGACAATCCCATAGCTAACATCATACTCAGTGTTAAAAACGTTTTCTCTAAAATCAAGAATAAGACAAGAATGCCCACTTTTACTGCTTCTAGCCAATATAGTCCTAGACACAGCAATTAAGCAAGAGAAAGAAGGAAATGACATCATTCAAATCAGAAAAAGAAATGTTAAATTGTTTCTGCAGACACCATGATCTTATGCATAAAGATTTTTATAATTCCACCAGAAAAATGGTTAGAACTAATAAATTCCAGTGGGTTGTAGGATATAAAATCAACATATCAAAAACAATTGAGATTTTTTCACTAACAAACTATCTGAAAAAGAAATTTTAAAAAATTCCATTCACAATAGCTACAAAAAAATGAAATATTTAGACATCAATTTAACCAGATTTAAAAGGCCTGTATACTGAAAACTATAAAACATTGATGAAGGAAATTGAAGATGACCCAAACAAATGGAAAGATATCCTTGGTTCATGGATTGAAAGCATTAATGTTGTTGAAATGTTCACACAACCCTATAATAAATAATAAACTAACTTTAGCTTACTGTAACATTTTTACTTTATAACTTTTTAATTTTTAAAAACCTTTTTGATTCTTTTATAACATTAGCTTAAAGCCAAACACATTGTTCAACCATCCGGAAATATTTTCTTTCTTTGATCTTTATTTTACAAGCTTTTTCTATTTTTCAAAATTTCTACTTTATTTTTACTTTTAAAGCATTTTTGTTAAAAACTGAGACACAAACACAAACATTAGCCTAGACCTACACAGGGTCAGGATCATCAGTATCACTGTCTTTCACTTCCAGCTTTTGTCTCACTGGAAGGTCTTCCAAGGCAGTAACATACATGGACCTGTTATCTCCTATGTTAACAATGTATTCTTGTGGAATACCCCCTGAAGGAACAGACAGGGGTCATTTTATACACTCTAATGTAATGATGAAAATTATAGTATAATAACTCCTAGGCGATACGAATTTTTCAGTTCAATTATAATCTTATGACATCACTGTGGTATATATAATCTATCTCATTGAAATATTGTTTTGGGGTGCATGACAGTGCTCAAATATCCTTATTGCTCTTAATCTCCCAATAATAAAACATTTCCAACTATCAACTGTACTTTAATGATGTTTAAGAGTTAAACCACTTGGTGTTTTTATAGTTTACTTAAACAGCCTCACATATTGAAATTAATTCTAAAATTGTTTATTACTTTTTTTTTTTTTTTTGAGTTGGAGTCTTGCTCTGTCACCCAGGCTGGAGTGCAGTGGTGCGATCTCAGCTCACCACAACTTCCACCTCCCACGATCAAGTGATTCTCCTGCTTCAGCCTCCTGAGTAGCTGGGATTACAGGCATGTGCACCACCCCCAGCTAATTTTTGCATTTTTAGTAGAGACAGGGTTTCGCCATGCTGGTCAGGGTGGTCTCGAACTACTGACCTCAGGTGATCTGCCCACTTCGGCCTCCCAAAGTGCTGGGATTACAGGTGTGAGCCACTGCATCCAGCCTATTTTTTTTATATCATACAGTTTTTTAAATCTCCATTCTTAGTAAATATTAGAATATCCTAATAAAAATATATTTATTTTGCTTTCAATTCACATAAATGCAATTTACCATTCTAAGCAGTGTTTTAAAGTGAATGTGGGCAAACGCAATAACTACAACTGATTCAATAATCAATTTGTCACAATTTTCCACTTTTATGTTTGCTTGGTCCACAGGTACACTTGAGCTGTGCCCTGGAAAAACAAATATTTGTAGTGTTGCTGTGAAGGACCTTTCCAGAAGTAGCAAATACTGTGTCTTGTCCAAATGCCTGAAACTTACTATTTTTTCCTGTACATCAGTCAGACTTCTAAATGCAAATCTTTGTCTGAGATCTGTCTCTGACCACTTGAGTGATTACTTGCAGGGAAGTCTGAAAGTGCCATGGGTTTAACTAATGATTAATATAATTTTCTGGATAATCTATCAAGTTCCCTCTTTCTCAGATAACATCACAAATGGTAGACGGCAAACCGGTAGAAGAAAATACACTGGGCAAAGCAATATGTTTTGCCTTTGAGAATTTTCAGGGATAGAGAATTCTAAGAGTAGTGAAGTCAGTACTTTTTTTTTTTTAAGCTATCGTTATCATGCTGAGGAGTGGGGCCTTGGAGAGTCAAGTAAGCCAAATAACAACTAAAGGGACAGTGTGAAAGTCAGATGGGCTTTATATGAGCATTGAAAGATCTCTCCTTGAACAGCCAGAGAGCCAATTGTGATAGAAAATCAGGCTGAGGATATAATGGAAAAATAGCTAAATTTCTAAACTGGCTGAATTCACTGCCTATATGAGTCCCAATGCTAGAGTCAGTTTCTTAAACGGAAGGAGTGAGTTGCAGTCACATAAAATGAGAATACATGAGTGGATGTGCCAGAGAAACTTTAATCTCCAGATTCCCTTGAAACCTCGGGTAAGCACAAATGTATTCCTTTTCCTTGCTATAGAACAGTTTTCTTTTGTTTGTCTGGAGACTTTGCAGAGGATTACCTGAGTTAGATATATTGCTAGAGGATGTTTGTTGTATTAGGAATTGTGAAGTGTCTGACATTTTTTCTATTTGCCAGCTACTATGTTAGTATGCCACGGTTTTATGGATTCAAATAAAAAACATAAGACTCCTATTTCAGAAAAAAAGATAGTATTACTCACACCATGACAAACATCAGCATATTTGCCTTTTTCCCTTAGTATCACAAGATCCCACACACTTTCCCAGCATTCGCATACATCAACTACTGTTCAACAGACAAAATCGCGGAACGTATCCTTCCCCTCTGAGCTAAGAAAAATGACAGCTTGCGTGTTTAATCTGAAAATATGCACATGTATGTTATTGATGTAAAAAACAGTGGAAAATACGTCAACAACGCATGGTGTCCAGCACTGTGATATGTGTGACTATCATTTACCTCCATGGTCTGTATTAGTTAAGATTAGGCTACACTGTTGATGATAAAGAAAAAAATACCCAAAATAAGTGCAGCTTAAAATGATAGAAATTTATTTAAATCTAGAATAAAAGCGCAGAGGAATGAGATTATGAGAAAAAGGCAAACTGCTACATTAGGTACTAAGAGAATCAGTATCACGGTTTTTTCACCACTCCACCTTCTATAATGTGGCTTTTGTCTTCATTGTCCACAACTCTGACAACATCCCAGCGAGAAAAGGAATAAAGACAAGGAATGAAGCAAAATAAACAAAGACGATTCACAAACTACTTTCTAAAGAAAGGTTCTGGAAACCGGCACACAATACTCCTACTCATTCCAAACTGGTCAGGATTCAGCCATATGTACTCATGTAGCTACAAAATAAGGTGGGGAGTGGAGATTTCATTTTAGAACACCATTTGCAAAGCTGAATATTTTGCAAAGAAGAACAATGAAAAGCATCGACTTCAGAAACAGTGATCTATCAGTTGCAATTCAGATAGCTGATTTCCACCCCAACACCTCATCGCTTCCTTCATCTAACCCACAGAGCACATTCAGCCCCACAACAAGCATCCCAACAAATCACTGTATTTGGCTCAAAGCCTATTATATACAGCTTATATAGGGTCTTTTCAATAAAGTCTGGAAGTGGCTCCTGTTTTTCTGAGAAACTGCCATAAACAAGAGAACCCTAAGGAAAGATAACAACTAAATGTTATGTATAATAGGAGCCTGGGACAGAAAAAGAAAATCACATGAAAGCGAAGGAAATCTGAATAAATTATGGATTGTAAGAAAATAGAGTATTAATAATTTTTAATCATTGTAAAAGCTGTAACATACCATTATTATATGTGAATATTAGAGAGAACCAGGTGAGGCATGTATGCCAACTCTGCGCTATCTTGTTATTTTCTATAAATTGAAAATTATTCAAAGAAATAAGGTCTATTTAAAATTATAGAAATTAGTAGAGTAGGTGATCAATAAGGACCTGCTAAGATACATATGGATTTGGAATATATTTTGATGGTAAACGAAGAATGTATTCCAGTTGATCAGAACTGTAGGAAAAAGGAATAAGGATAAATTATATGTGCATACTGTGAAAACTGGGAGGAATGTACCATTTACCAAAGTAGGGAGCACCAGGAAAGTATCTCATTATAGGGACTGTTACTTGGAGTTCTTAGAAATTGTATTATGAGATACCCATTAGACATCCTAGTGGAGATGTTGTTTGTGTAGTTTGGTATCTAAGTTTGAAGCTCAAAGAGAAAGTCAAGATTGGAGTCATCAATTTGAAAGTCACCACCCCATAGACAATGGATTGAAGCCATAGAACTATGGAACTATGTGGATTTACAATATCTATCAAATTTGAATGTGTCTATGTTTCTTTTTTTTATTGCCTTTGGCACGTCTTTTAACTTTTTGTTGAAAGTCAAACATGATGTATGATGTAGTAGGAACTGAGGACTTTACTGTGAGTTTTTAATGTTAATGTGGCTAGAAATTAAGCTATAATTTTGTTTGCTCTAGCTGTATGTGCCAGAGGCTTAAATTCTTCTAATGTCTCTGCCCTTGTCTCCTCATGAAGATTTCCCTAATAACTTTTTCTTAAATAGAGTTGGTACCTTCCAGCTCTTTTTGCTAGAATCCATTGTTTTTTTCATCTTTATTAAGGTATACTTGATAAATAAAAACTTACATACAGTACATTCGAGGTGTACAATGTTATGTTTTTGATATATGGACACATATAATGTTAAATAATTACCACAATCAAACTAATTAACATATGCATTACCCCAAGCTGTTATATTTTGTGCGTGTGTGGTAAAAATACTTGAGATCAATGCTCTTAACAACTTTAAAGTATACAATGCAGTGTTATTAACTACAGTCATGATGCTGTAAATGAGAACTCTAGAACTTATTTATCTGTCAAAACTGATCCTTTGTATTCTTGACCAACATCTCCACATTTCTCCTGACTCCCAAGTCCCTGGTAACCACCATTCTATTATTTACTTTTATGAGTTTGATATTTTTAGGTTCTGCATATAAGTTAGATTATGCATTATTGGTCTTTCTCTGTCTGGTTTGTTCATTTAGCATGATGTCTCCAGATTCATCCAAGTTGTTGCAAATGGCAGGATTTTCTCCCTTATTAATGCAAAATGAAATTTCAGTGTGTGTCTGGATTTGTTTGTGTGTGTGTCTCCAGTCATCTGTGAATGAACACTTTGGTTATTTCTATATCTTGGCTATTGTGAATAATGCTGCAATTAATGAGGGTGTACAGATCACCTCAAGATAGTGATTTTATTTCTTTTAGATTTATACCCAGATGTAGGATGGCTGGATCATAAGGTAGTTCTATTTTTAATTTTATGTGTAACCTTTACACTGCTTTGCATTATGGCTATGCTAATTTACGTTCCCACCAACAATGTAGAATTTTCTTTACACTTTCAACATTTATTATCTATTGTCTTTTTTAATAACAGCCAAATGTGTGATGTGATATTTTACTGTGGTTTGATTTTCATTTCCATGATAATTAGTGATGTTGTGCATAATTTCATTTATCTGTTGCCGATTTGTTTGTTTTCTTTAGAAAAATGTCTATTCAGGTTTGTCCATCCATTTTTAGTAGGGTCATTTGTTTTTTTGTTTTTGTTTTGGTTTTTGTTGTTTTGCTATTAAATTATTTGACTTCCTTATATAGAGGACTTTCAAAAATTTCATGGGAAAAATTTGTATTATAAAAATAATTATGCATGAATTTAAAAAAATTTTACCAAAATAAACTTGTACGAGTTACAATAAACTTGTTGTAACATGTATAACAGGATCTAGTTTGAGCTACTAAGAAAAGTTGAAAAGATTCCCTATCATTGCAACATGAATTCTGCTAAAATTGAAGCAAGAACAAACATCAAATTTATGATGATGCTTGAGTAGAAGAAAGTAAACTTATTTGCTCTTTACAAAAGTTACTAGGGACAGTGTTCCAAATAAGTCAGAAGTTTACAAATGGATAACTCATTGTATGAAAGAAAGAGACAATACTAAAGATGATGCCTGTGGAGCAAACCACCCACATCAATTTGTGAGAAAAAAGTTTTCTTGTTTATGTCCTAATTGAAGAGGACTAACAGTTAACAGCAGAAACAATAGCTGATGACACAGACATCTCAATTTGTTTAGGTTATGCAATTCTGACTGAAAAATTAAAGTTGAGCAAACTTTCTACTCCATTGGTGCCAAAACCCTTGCATCCAGATCAGCTGCAGAATAGAGCAGAGCTTGCAACGGAAATTTTAAACAAGTGGGATTAAGTTCTTGAAGCATTTCTTTGAAAAACTGTAACAGGAGATGTAACATGCCTTCACCAGTGTGATCCTGAATACTAAGTGCAATCCAAGCAATCGTTACCGAGAGGTGGCAGTGGTCCAGTCAAAGCAAAAGTGGATTGGTCAAGAGCAAACGTCATTGCAACAGATTTTTGAGATGCTCAAGGCATATTCCTTGGTAACTTTATGGAAGGACAATGAATAATTACATATTTTGTTATGAAAGTGTTTTGAGAAATTTGCCAAAGACTTAGAAAAACACCAAGGAAGGCCTCAGTAGGGAGAGCCTTCTCTACTATGATAATGCTCCTGCTCATCCTTCTCATCAAACAAGGGCAATTTTGTGAGAGTTTTGATGGAAAATTATTGGCATCCTCCTTGCAGTCCTCATTTGGCTCCTTCTGCCTTCTTTTTATATCCTTATTTAAAAAAAAATTAAAGGCCACTCATTTTTTCTTTCATTTAGTAAGATAAAAAATACTTTATTGAAATGGTTACATTTCCAGGGACCTCAGTTCTTTAGGAATCAAAAAAAAATGACTGGTATCATCACTTACAAAAGTGTCATGATTTTGATAGAACTTATGTTGGAAAATAAAGTTTATATTTTAATTTTTATCTTTTAATTCTATTTTTTTCACAACTGTTTGAAGTCCCCTCATCCTTTGGATATAGCTCCTTATTGGGTATATGGGTTGCAAAATTGTCTCATTTTGTGGTTTACCTATTTGTTTTGTTAATTTCATTCACTGTTGTTATAATGAACTCTAGTTGGCATGGTGGTAAGCTGTGGAGAAAGGGAAGCATTCTATATCCAGAGTATATATTGATTTAAGTATGAAGGTAGAACACGAAAACATTTATATGAGCAAGGTGTCAAAAAGCTCACCCTCCCAATAAATATTTTAGAAAAAGCTACTGAAAAATGGGCTTGACAAATACAAGAGATTAAACTAAAAAAGAGGAAGAGACAGGATCTAAAGATAAGGAGATATATGTAAGATAAAGGCAATGGAATTGTCAGGTTAATGATGATGGAAAACCCCAAGATGACTAGTGTGAAACAGAGACCACATTTCAAATTAGAATAGAGCAGCAAGTTGTGAAAAGATTTCTTCAAGAAGATGAAGCTGATAAGCTGCCTGATGTGTCTGTGTATACTGCGAAAAGGTTTGTGATAACAGGAAGAGTTTGTTGATGAGTTTATAAGTTCATAGAAAACTAAGCAAACTGAATACAATACATTTTTTAACTCTAGGGAAACAAAAATAATAGATAGTACAAGTAATTTTAGCATGCAAACATACACACATAACTAAAATCAACAAACTTTATTTCTAAAATGTGGAATACAATTGCCAGTTTTCAGAGCTGTTAGGCTCAAATTCAATAAGCACAACATTAGGCACGTAGAACTCACACAATGTATTCTGTAATTATAATAAAGTGAGTTCACTGGATGCAGATTAAAGACTGGAATTAACATACACTGATTAAGTAAGTTATTGAACAAATAAAAGTAATTGTTACACCTCATGAACTGGGCATTATCGTTAGATTATTGTGGGAATATGCAACCCTGGAAAAATAAAATAATTCAACGTAAACATAAAAATGGAAAATTATTCCATTTCTAGTTTACTTAATATGTGTAAATGTAACACATTGCCTATAACACATAGAATGCTGCATATTGTGACTTCTGTAATTTTTTAACAGAAAATGTATTAGATTGAAAATTAATTTTTAAAAGTTTCAGTTTTCTATTTCTTGGGTGAAAGAATGTATCACTGTATATTTGTTGAGTGTTGGCATGACTGGGTGCATGAATAATAATTTTGCATATAATATTTTTAAACAGATGCCAAGTTAGCATTTTTTAATGCATTCAAAGATTGTTTGGAATATTAAAAATTCAGGTGAATTATCTTTTTCTTACAATCTGTCAATACCTGACACACATATGTTATGTACTCTTCATAAAATAGTCCAGAAGATATTGATTTGAAGCACAATTATAAACTTTATGTGAATTTTTACTTGTATGTATAAACAATACCTGGTATAGTTTATTGATAATCTTTTTTGATTACATAAAGTTACTCATATGGCATTGGATGGCACTTAACTATTTAATCAAATATAATGCCTTTAAAATTCCATCTGTGCTGTCTGAAGTTATGACAGTAGGCTCATGTTTCCCTGGTTCTGTATTTACTACTTTGAACACGTTGATTTAGCCTTCAGTGTTTGGTTCCTTATCTTTTTCCTGTATATTATTTATTTTTAGGAATTAGTATTACTTAATGACTCAGGAGAATTGTATGCTTACACCAAGAAAACATTATTTATTTGGCTCTAAGAGTTATATTTTGTTAACACATATCAAATAAACAAATAGTTTGTTTTAGCAAAATGGAATAATTTTATGAATGGTAAAAGGTGATATTTTGACAGCCAACTGAATTTTTCCCATGTGTTAATGGAATACATACACATTTATTTATTTTTTGGCTTAGCTAGCGATTATGCTCTAATCTTTTAGGGTTGTGATACTAATTAGTTTTTTATTTATGAGAAGGTAGTCAACAAAATAAACTATGTAATTAAAAAGTCCTGGCACTGCAAAAATTAATGTTGTTAAACTGTCCATAGCAGTCAAAGAAATCTACAGCTTTGATACAATCTCTATTAAAATCTCAATAATATTCTCTACCAAAATAGAAAAAAAAATCCTAAAATGATTAGGAAACTACAAAAAACCTCAAATAGCCAACACAATCTTGGTCAAAAAGGACAAAATTCTTTGTCCTTTAGGCATCAAATTACCTGGCTCCAAAAGATGCTACAAAGCTATGTGTGGTAATCAAACCAGTATGGTACCAGCATAAAAACAGACATATAAACGAATGGACAATAGGACATCCAAAATAAGTCCACACATCTATGGTTAAGTAATTTTCCATGAGGGTACCAAGAATGCACAATGGAGAAAGGCTAACCTTTTCTACAAATGGTGTTGGGGAAACTGAGTATCTATTATAATAAAAGTAGAAAAATAACATTAGTACCTTATCTCACATCATATACAAAAAATCAACTCAAAACTGATTAGACTTAAGTATAAGGCTTGAAACTGTAACACTACTGGAAGAAAACACAGGAGAAAAGATCTGAAATATTGATCTGATCAATGATTTTATGGAACTCAAAAGCACAGGCAACCAAAGCAAAAATTGCCAAATGAACCATGTAAACGAGAGGAGGTTAATATGCAAAATGCATAATTAACTACGAGAAATAATTGGCAAAAAAAAAAAACCTGACTAAAAAATGGGCTAAGGACCTTAATACACATTTCTCAAAAGAAGTCATACAAATAATCAATAGGTATATGAAGAAATGCTTAACATCATTAAGCTTCAGAGAAATGCAAATTGAAATCGAAATGAGATATCACATCATGTCTGTTATTATCAAAAAGACGAAAGGTAACAAATGTTCATGAGGATGTGGAGAAAAGAAAACTTCTCTTGTGCATTGTTGGTGAGAGTTAAAATTGATACAACCATTTTGAAAAACTGTATGAAGTCTACTCAAAAAATTAGAATTACTGTATAATGCAGCAATTTCACTTCTGGGTATATATATAAATAAAATCACTATCTTGAAGAGATATTTGCACTTCCATTTTAATTGCAGCATTATTCACAATAGTCAAGATATGGAAACAACCTAAGTGTCTACCCTCAGATGCATGGATAAAGAAAATGTGGATATATGTATATACACAATAAAATATTATCCAGCTTTAATTAAGGAATAAATTCTGCCACTTGTGACAACTTGAACCTGGAGGACATTATGCTAAGTGAAATAAGCTAGAGACAGAAAGTGGTCTCCAACGCTCATGGACATGATCTTACCTCTATGTGGAATCTACAAATGTCAAACTCAGAAAAGTAAAAAGTAGAATGGTAGTTACCAGGATTTGAAGAGCAGAAGAAACATAAAGTTGTTGCTCATGGATACAAAGGTTCAGTTATGAAAAATTGATAAGTTCTGGAGACCTAATGCACAGCATGCTTACTCTATTTAATAATACTGTATTGTATACTTGAAATTCACTAAAACAATTGATATTATCTATTCTTACCATAAAAAATGTAACCAGATGAGGTTATTGATATGTTAATTAGCTTGTTTTTGGTAATTATTACATAATGTATATGTATATCAAAAGACCATATTGTACATTTGAATATAAAAAAAATTTTATTTGTCCAATATATTTCAACATAGCTGAAAAATATAAAATCATAGCATGTAGGAAAAACACATCTTTTTATTTGAATTGACTTACATTTATTCAACTTAATAATACAACCATATTTTATGAAATGATCACTCTGAGGCAGGTAGCATAACAAGTATCTATTGGTTGCAGTTGGCAGCAAGGCATTTCTTGCCAAAATGGAATTCAATATTTCATGGGAAGTTAGCAAAAATATAAAGTAATAAGCTCCAGAATAGAGATGTATGCAAGTAACTGTTGGATCACAGAAAATGGCATATCTAATTCTGCCTAAGAATAAAATGCACAAAGGGAACAGATGTTACCCAGAGTAGAATGTTCAAGAAATAGTAATAATTTGGCATGGCAAGAGCCATTTATACATAGCTGTAAATTTTTTATGCATAGGTGTGAGCTTTCTTGAAAGAGAGCCCTCAGTTAGATCTCACATGGAATTTTCACCACCCTATGTATTAGGTTTTTTTTCCAAAATTCCTTAGTTAAATATAGGTAAAAGGTAACAAAGTATTTTAGCTCTTTGTCCAAAATTAAATACAATTTATTTTCATTGTCCATTTTATGTGCAATTAGGTCATTATATAGATTTTCTCTATCTTTTTAATGAACAGCATGCATGGGCGATAATGTAAACCTTTTTAGCATTCCAGTCCATCTACTTTTGAGGTTATGCTTAATTCTAAGATGGCTCCTCAAAATCCTCATTTTCTAGCACACACACACTTTCTCCAGGCTATCCAATCAAACAATAATCTAGGTGCTTCAGCAAAAAGATTTTGCTAATATGTTAAATGTCCCAAATCAGTTGGTGTTAAAATGGAGATATTATCCTCAGTGCATTTAAACTAATTAAGGGAATACTTGAAAGGGACCAAGCTTTTCCTTATGAAAGAGATCCAAAGCTTGAAGGGAAGTTAATGAGTGTAATATTCCTCATTGCTGGTTTTCAATATGGGATCATGTGTTGTATTAGTTTTCATGCTGCTTATAAAGACATACCTGAGCGTGGGCAATTTACAAAAGAAAGAGGTTTAATGGACTTACAGTTCACATGGCTATGGAGGCCTCACAAGCATGGTGGAAGGCAAGGAGGAGCAAGTCACAGGAGGAGCAAGTCACATCATATGTGGATGGTGGCAGGCAAAAAGAGAGAGCTTGTGCAGAAAAACTCCTCTTAAAACCATCAGATCTCCTAAGACTTATTCACTATCATGAGAACAACACCGGAAAGAATTGCCCCCATGTTCAGTTACGTCCCAATGGCTCCCTCCCACAACATGTGAGAATTCAAGGTGAGATTTGGATAGGGACACAGCTAAACCATATCATTCTGCCTTGGCCCCTCTCAAATCTCATATCCTCATATTTCAACGTCAATCATGCCTTCCCAATAGTCCCCCAAAGTCTTAACTCATTTCAGCATTAACTCAAAAGTCCACAATCCAAAATCTCATCAGTGACAAGTAAGTCCCTTCCACCTATGAGCCCGTAAAATCAAAATCAAGCTAGTTACTTCCTACAAACAATGGGGGTAAAGGTACTGGGAAAATACAGCTGTTCCAACTGGGAGAAATTGGCCAAAACAAAGGGGCTACAGGCCCCATGCAAGTTCAAAATCCAGCGGGGCAGACAAATCTTAAAGCTGCAAAATGATCCCCTTTGACTCCATGTCTCACATGCAGGTCATGCTGGAGACAAAAAGGTGGGTTCCCACGGTCTTGAGCAGCATATAGCCCCCCTCCTGGCTGCTTTCAAAGGGTGATGTTGAGTGTCTGTGGCTTCTCCAGGCATATGGTATAAGCTTTCAGTGGATTTACCATTCTGGGGTCTGGAGGATGGTGGCTCTCTTCTCACAGGTCCACTAGGCAGTGCTCTGGTAGGGACTCTGTGTGGGGGCTCTGACCCCACATTTCCCTTCTGCACTGGCCTAGCAGAGGTTCTCCATGAGGGCTCCACCCCTGAAGCAAACTTCTGCCTGGGCATCCAGGTGTTTCTATACATCCTCTGAAATCCAGGCAGAGGTTCCCAAACCACAATTCTTGACTTCTGTGCACCTGCAGGTTCAACACCATGTGAAGTTGGCAAGGCTTGAGGCTTCCAATCTCTGAAGCAACAGCCTGAGCTGTACCTTGGCCTCTTTTAGACATGGCTGGAGTGGCTGGGACACAGGACACCAAGTCCCTATAATGCACACAGCAGAGGGACCCTGTGCACAGCCTGTGAAACCATTTTTTTCTCCTGAACCTCTTGGCCTGTGACGGGAGAGGTTTCTGTGAAGGTCTCTGATGTGCCCTGGAGACATTTTCCCCATAGTCTTGGCATTTAACATTCTGCTTCACATTATTTATGCAAATTTCTGCAGCCAGCTTGAGTTTCTCCCGAGAAAATGGAATTGTCTCTTCTATCACATTGTCAGGCTGCAAATTTTACAAAGTATTTATGCTCCGTTTCCCTTTTAAGATTGGATGCCTTTAACAGCACCCAAGTCACATCTTGAATGCTTTGCTGCTCAGAAATTTCTTCTGCCAGATACCCTCAATCATGTCTCTCAAGTTCAAAGTTCCACAAATCTCTACAGCTGGGGCAAAATGCCACCAGTCTTGTTGCTAAAGCATAACGAGAGTCACCATTGCTCCAGTTCCCAACAAGTTCCTCATCTCCATCTGAGACCACCTCAGCCTGGATTTCATTGTCCTTATTATCAGCATTTTGGTCAAAGCAATTCAACAAGTCTCTAGGAAGGAAGTTCCAAACTTTCCCACATTTTTCTGTCTTCTTCTGAGCCCTCCAAACTGTTCTAAACTCTGCTGGTTATCCAGTTCCAAAGTTGCGTCCACATTTTCAGGTATCTTTTCAACAGTGCCCCACTCTACTGGTACCAATTTACTGTACTAGTCTGTTTTCACATGGCTGATAAAGATATACCCAAGACTGGACAATTTACAAGAAAAAAAGGTTTAATGGACTTACAGTTCCACATGGCTAGGGAGGCCTCACAATCACGGTGGAAGGTGAAACCACATCTCACATAGTGGCAGATAAAAGAAAAGCTTGTGCAGGGAAACCCCTCTTTATAAAACTGTCAGATCTCATGAGACATATTCACTATCACAAGAACAGCACAGGACACACTTGCCCCCATGATTCAATTACCTCCCACTAAGTTCTTCCCATGACACATGGGAATTCAAAATGAGATTTGCATGGGGACACAGCCAAACCATATC
This sequence comes from Homo sapiens, assembly GCF_000001405.40. NCBI lineage: Eukaryota > Metazoa > Chordata > Mammalia > Primates > Hominidae > Homo > Homo sapiens. The sequence continues at coordinate 86,837,746 of NC_000013.11, forward strand.
ATGTGTCAAGGAATGTGGGAGGGCGCTAAGACTTGAGAGTAAAACCAAACGGACAATCAACAAATAATCAAGGGATCTGTCTTACAACTGCCAGAAAAAAACCTTTGACAATTTGAGTGTACTTGAAATTGATTCTTTCTCAATGCCTTAAAAAAATACAGTCCAGATTATTATACTTTGATGTTACCCTGTGAGTCTCTGATCAGAGAAACCTGTTAAACTGTGACTAGACTTTAACCTACAGAAACTGTGAGATAATACATGGGTGCTGTTTACTTCTCTACGTAGATGTTTACTACGGAGTGAAAGAAAACTAACACATTTGTCTCCATAATTTTTCTCAATATTCAATGTTAGGAGTGATATTGTCATAGTGCCTGGGAAATCAAATTTCTGATTTCATATCCTTAATAAGTAAACTTAAGTAATAATGATTGGTAATGAGTTAATTATTAAGTAACTTAAAAATATTAGAGAGATGTTTTAAGAAGTTAATAATAAGAGGAATTTAACTGCATGCACTATGCTGTTTGTTTCTACATATTCTGGAGTTCTACATAATTAAACACTTAGTAGTTAGGAGCCTCATTACTTAGTATGTGAATCACTCTATGCATTAAAGTGTTGCATTAATGTTACGGAATCCTTGGGGTGTCCCTTCACTGATCAGAAACCTCTGTGTCCACTGGCACCTTTGCCTGAGTTTTGCTCTGGACTGCAGGGCTCATTCTGCCCACTCAGCCTGGCAGACTGCACTCAGCTCCTGCTACCGGCCTGGATCCTATGCCTGCCAAGGTCAAGACAGGCACGAAGCAGCAAGGAGTGCGTGAATGAGGATGGGGAATGGCCAGTGAGCACAGCCGGGCACACTCGCTGTGATGGGACATGCAGTCCCAGGCATTGACACGGGTGCTGGCTCCCTACAAGGCTGTGGCTACACCAGGCATACCATAAGCAACTTCCACAGCTGACACCAGGAAATGCAGTGGCTCCAAGAAGCTTGGAGATGCCAGAAACTGCAGAACCCCAAAGAGGATATCGTAGCCCTGGCTCAGGAAGCTTCTAGGTCTGGGCTCTCCAAAGGGCTGCAGCTCTTCTCTCTTTCTCTCTTCTTGTTGCCTGCAATGTGGTAAGCAAGGAACGTGTTTCAGCCCTGTTTGTGTTACAGCTCCTTTAGCCCTGCCATTGAGCGGGTCCTGGTGAGAGGAGGGGCCAGCTGGGCTTCCTGGATGGAGTAAGGGCTCCAAAAGCTGTGAAACTCACTCATTTCCTGCATCAGGACTTACTTTGGTCCTGGAAGAATAATATTGAAGATATATGCTTAAACTATTCCTAACACCAGGATTTGTGCGTTTGTTTTCTTCCTCAAGAAAAATATAAACAGCGAAAATGTTGCTGTAAGTTTCCCTGTGTCCTCTCTCCCTCTCTCCATTCCCCCTCCCTCAAAACTAAAGTAAAAGGAATGTTAACTGCCCATTTTTCTGTGGCCAGCAGACCTTATCTCTACTCCCAATTCCAATTCCTTGTAAATATACTTTGTAAAGTCCTGTGAGATCCTGTCTCCTTTGCCATGCCGCTGCAAGGTCATAAAGTAAATATAACCTAAGTTGCAATTCTGGTTTTCCTCAAAATCTAAGACATGTCACAAAATAATTTACTTCCTTTTTTTCTCGCTCTAGTAACATCTTCCTGCCGCACGTATTTCCTGCCTTAAAGAGTTTAAAAGGCAATCACCCAAAACCAGCAGTGGCTACCGGTTCGGGACCCCTTCCACACTGTGGAAGCTTTGTATTTTCACTCTGCTCAATAAAGCCTACAGCTTTTTCTCTCTATCGGTCTGTGTCTCTATCACTTGCTGTGATCAGCTACCACACCAATTCTTTGGCATGGCGAAGCAAGAACCTTGCCGTTACACTGGGTTCTTTTTGTGTGTCCTGGAAGAATGACGTACACAGACAAGTGGAGGGTGAACAAGATGAAAGGAGCTATACTGAGTGATAGAACAGCTTAGAGAAGACCAGCAGTGGGTAGCTCCTCTTTGTAGGCAGGGTGTCCCAACAAGTGTTCAGCTCTCAGCAGAGAGGGTAGCTCCTCTCTGCAGCTGGTCATTTCATCTTCTCTTTAGTCAGCAGAGAGGGTAGCTCCTCTCTGAGGGCAGGTCATCCGATCAATTCTTCAGCTCTCAGCAGAGAGGGTAGCTCCTCTCTGCAGCTGGTCATTTCATCTTCTCTTCAGTGAGCAGAGAGGGTAGCTCCTCTCTGAGGGCAGGTCATCCCACCAACTCTTCAGCTCTCAGTAGAGAGGGTAGCTCCTCTCTACAGCTGGTCATCATGTCATCTCCATCCTCTCCTTGAGTCTGGCTGAGTCTGGGGGTTTTTATGAGCCTCAGAGGAGAGGAAGCGTGTGCTGACTGGTCCATGTAGCGGGGGCATTGGCAGCACCAGAAAAAAGTAATGCAAGATCCCTCTCCAGACTGCAGGACTGGCAGCCCAGCCCCAGGCTTCAGGTCCAACCTGGCTTGAAAGTGGGGCTTCACTGGGACCACTCCCTTCCATTCAGAAGCCTGTCTGCCTCATGCCTGTTCATGGTGCCCAGGCTTTTCATATCAAGGAGTGGCTGCATGCTAGTACTGGGCTGTCCTCAGCACCTCCTCACCCTCCCTCCCATGCTTGTCAATGCCCAAAGTCCACAGGGGCCTGAGGTGGCAGGGGGCTGGTGTGTTAACACTGCCCTGAGCATGTGCACATCCAGCCTGGCTCAGACAGTGCCTGGGCTTGCCCCAACTTTGCCCTGAGATCAGAGTGGGTGCTGATAGCAGGGAGAAGCCAGACACTGGGAGCAGGCACTTTCAAATCTGCGGGGTAAAGTTGGGGGGCCTTCCTGGGCCTCAAAGAATGCAGAGATGCCTGGGTCCGCAACCATGGGAGGGTGGCTACAGCTGCACCCAGGGAACTCCCATCCCGTCAGCTCAGAAGGAACGGGTTCCTGCTTGTCCCCAGCTCCTGTCAGCTCTGAGGAGCATGCAGCCCCAGCTGGGCCTCACCACAGCTTGGGGCGGGGGCTTCGTGTCCTCACTCTCTGGGCCTGGGCTGTCATCCTAGGTGGGGTGATGTTGCTGTGAGTTCTTTCTGTGGCCCCAGTGCTTAGGGGTGGCCTGGGTCTCCCCCTCTCCCAGCTGATGGCCCTGCTTGAGGGGCGCCTCCAGGAGCAGATCATGGCCCTGGGCCCGGCCATGGGGAGCGTCAGGCTCAGTGGTCACCTCCATGTGGGGCAGATCCTAGGGACGCAGCCCTGGGCAGCCCTGCACAAAGCCTCTTGTTGAGGTGCAGGAACTTGGTGCTGTCGATGGGTTGGGTGTAGTGCTTGCATCCTGGCTGGGTTCTTGAAGCCTGGGATGCTCCCACTTGCCACACAGGCCTCTGATGCACAGCTCCAGTTCCAAGTCTCAGGGCTGACCCAGGAGTTGCTGCTTCCAGCCCAGCTCCTGATAACCACCATTCTGCTTTCTATGAATTCAGCTTTCTTAGGTTTCACATATGAGTGAGATCATGTGGTATTTGCCTTTTGGTGCCTGGCTTATTTCACTTATCTCAATGTCCTCCAAGTGAATCCATGTGCAAAAGCAGCACCTCCCTGGGCCCAGCCCAGCCTTGGGGCCTCTCTCTGTTCACTCCTCCATGGCCAGCCACACTGCTTTCACATCAGGGGGTGACTGGGCCTGGCCCCACCAAAGTGGCTTCCAGAGGTGTGTTCCCAGGGCAGCAGGCCCTAGGGAGAAGCTCCGGGGACTACCTGCCTTGGTGTCTGAATCTGAGGACTTATATCCTGGGCCTGTACCCCACTGCAGCTGGCATCATGGCAGCAGCTGCTTCAGAGGGGCTGCCACTGCCATCATTAACACTAATTGTTACCAATTGCTAATAAAAGTAATATCTTGGTAATTAACTGAAAAACTAAGTGAAAGAGACAGAACAAAATTGATTAGTATTTAATTACACAAAAAATTAAATTTTAACCTATCAGTTCAAAATACTTCATGATAAATCTATTACTTGGCTCCACATGGGAAACTTGGCTATTTTGCAGGAGATATAGGTGCAGTAACCAAAAGTAATGGTTGCAATATACAGTTAAATATTCAAGTTATATCTGGATACGATCCCTTTATCTTTCTTTACTCATATTCAACTCTCTTAACGACTCTTCAAATAAAAAATATTTTTTAATGCTTACTAGGTACCAAACACTGAGATGTATTAGCTTTGTTTCAGAATTTAGAAACTAATCAGCTTGTTTACTATGTGTATGTTTCTGTGTGTTGGAGATGGGAGGGTGGTTGGAGGTGGGGGATGTGGTGGATAAGTCTCACAGTATATTTTAAAGTTAACATCTATAATTGTCCTTGTTATACAATGTAAATAAATAGAGCCTTTTACTTTTACTCATTGACCTGGGCTGCATGTTGTAATCTTGTTTCAGTAGTTAAATTCTTACCTCTTTTCTGTGTGAATCCATGTTGTTTGCAGGTCTGATACCCTGATTCTCCAGAATATTAATTCACTTTTGCTCTACTCATATCTTCCTTGATAAGTCCATCTTTTCCAATAAAAGTAGTTTCTAGATGTACTCCGCTTGAAGATTTAAAAATTTTAACAGATAAAAGTATGTATTTAGTGCACAATATGATGTTTTGACATATATCTACATTGTGAAATAAGTGAATCTAGCTAATTAACATATACATTATCTCACAGTTTTCAGTTTTTTGATGAGAACATTTTACATCTCTCAGCATTTTCAAGAATGCAATATATTAAATATGATGGATTGCTTAAAGTAATTCCTCTTATCTAAATAAACCTATTCATATGTAAAATTTTGTTATCTTTTAACCAACATCTTCTAAACCTTCCCCTGCTACCCTACCTTCCACCCCAGCTCCTGATAACCACCATTCTACTGTCTAATTCTATGAGTTCAGTTTTCTTTGGTTTCACATATGAGTGAGATCACGTGGTATTTACCTTTTTATGCCTGGCTTATTTCACTTACTCAATGTCCTCCAAGTCAATCCATGTTGCAAATGACAGAATTCCCTGTCTTTTAATAATTAAACAGTATTCCATTGTAGTTTTACAGTTTTATAATAGTATTTCATATATATACATGTCACATTTTTTATCCATTCTTCTACTAGTGCGCACTTAGGTGGATTCCATACCGTGATTATTGTGAATAATTCTGCTTGCAAATTCAAACAGTTAAAATTTCCTTATTCACATGGCCAAACTACTGCTAAAATCCAATTTTTGTAACATTCATTTTTATTTTAAAATGTCCACTTTCCACTGCATGTTTGTATGCTGAATTACATAATCTGTAACAAATAATTTGAGCATCTGTTGCACCTTGCTCTACTCACTGAATACTTGGCCTCCTTGTATCAATTTTCTCTAGTCATTGGCCTCAAATAATTATTTCTTTTGGACTCTTAAATACTAGGGGAAAATGTCTGTCTTTTTTTTGTGTGTTTGATAAAAATAAGTCTAAGCAAAGCTCAAGTTAAAATAGTGAAGTTTTTGTCTGATATGGTCTTTGAATGTGTTACCATTTCAAATAATCCTAGTTTCTGACTCCAAGTTATTGGATAAGTGGACAAAACAATAGTATTAAGTGGGTTGAATCAGAAATTTATATATTTTTTCAATTTAATGTAAAAAAAGTAAATTTTCACACTTTTAAATCCTATTTGATATGCTGTGAGTTATGTTTACACAATGCAAATACAAACAAAGGTAATACAAAATTTTGGTCATTAAAGCTATCTACTGTCAAAATGATTCCAAATATATTTTGAAAAATAAACATAAAGGTAACCAAATACATTCTTCATAGCTACTTGTTTTATGGTCTTGGAGTCTGTTAAAACTGATTTAGATAAAATTATTTATTAGAGATTTAAACTCATTCCACTACCAAATAGCCAGTTTTAATTATATTTTTCAATTCATTGTATATAAGCTTTCAAATTTATTCAAAATAAAGTGACTTTTGATATTTTTAAGATATTCAACACAGATGCCACTTTTAATTATTGACTTATCCTGTTATGGCTAATTAAATATGCAATACAATGTTATGAAAATAAGTTAATACCTACTCTAAGACAATAATATATATTGCGTGCTGGCATTAGACATAACAAAATAGATAAATGATTTAAAATTTTATTTAAGTGTTGAACATTTCAAAAAATTTCAAAAGACTATTAAGGTGATTTTTCTGTCACAAAAAAAAGTGAATCTAAAATAATCTCAACGAAGCTCTCAATTTGTGTAAGGCTTTTTTCTCCCTCTGAAAGAAAAATACCTTTCTATTTTCTCGACTTAATTTGATTTCCAACTGAAAATTTATTATGTTCCTATGTCCTTCTGATTTTTTATTTTTATTAGAGATCATTATACTACTGGGAAATTATCATGTCTCAGAGACAATGTAAGCAGGGTCTTCTCAACCTTGATTACATTTCATTGTGTTTTTAAATTAATGTCTGTACACTGAGATCAATTAATATTTTTTAAGAAAATACTTTCTGCACAACAAATTACATTTAAATTGTGTGCAGTTCATTGTCATAAAGTGTAATTTAGGAAAATTTTTATCACTTCTTGGTTGTGATGAAAGGAAAAGTCTGATAAATATTAGCCCCTACAAATGATAAGAACATAAGAAATGAAAGTTCTCTTTAAGGTGTTTAAATGTTTTAGAATGGATTTTATTTCCTGAGGATTTATGTGATAACATAAACTAAGGCAAGATGCTTAAATAATAATGGGGAAAATAATAGTGTGCATGGGTGAGTTGAGTATCTGGAACATTTTGCATGATGACTAGCATAACTTTCTCTCAAGCAGTAATATCTCTAACACAAAATTCAGAGGTTTTTTTTCAGATGGATAAAATCAAGTATGAACATATATTTTTCATACATTGAATTAGAGAATGAAACACTGTTGAAATGAAATCATTTTCCTTAGTTATGCCTGAGTTTAAACTGGGAAACAATCTTTGTCCCTTTTATCCAATGAGCAGGTGTTTCAAACAAATTTGGAGAGTTATAAACAACGTGAAGAAAATAACACTTTAGCTTTTCACACACCAGTCATCTTCATCATTGAATCCCAAGTTAAAGTTCTGAAAACAGTTTTGAAAAATGCTTTTTCCTTTGGCCACAGGAATAGCTACTGAGAGCAACCCTGAGGATGATACTGGATGACAGTCTTCGTAAAATCACTTGAAATATTAGTTCAGTTTAGCCTTGGGTTGGCTTCCACTTAAAACTCCATGTTAAGGAAAAATAGCACCTCTTTCTAATATTAAAACACACACACACACACACACACACACACACACACACAAATGTACATAAAACTGCAACATACTTTCTGCAACTGACATAGAACACTCCATGTTATCACTGGCACCATAGTTTATAAAGGGAAAATATTGTCTGGGTCATTGGAGACATTTAAAATTTCAGTCTTTTGGGGAGAGCTTTTTAAAATCCTGCTTCTACATTCAGTATTTGTTAGTTATGTTTTTATTCAGAACTAGGTTCTCTGGTAGTTTGCACATTTTGTAGCTTCCCAGCACAAACACAAAAACGTTGTAAGTTCTTTATGACTAATCTAATATATAGTCTAGACACATATTGCTGTGTTTAATAAGGACATGATGTAGAAAACATAAGTATATGAGTACTGAATTTGACTAAACTGTATTGTTACATCAGATGTCAATGGTATTAATGGATAAATGTCAACATGTTATTAAGTGGAAATATTGGGTATATATACATTTATTAGGGGATTGATCTCAAATCTCTGTATCATGATGTTTAATACTGCACTCGAAAAAATTGAAATTTTAGAAAAAACTATAAGAATTTAGGAGACATAACCATGTAAAATGTTATGTTATGCTGAGGGAACATGGCCGACAAGAAGCAGTTAGTGTGAGTCATTCTCATGGCAAGAAAGAAAAGTGATGAGTGAATATACCCTCAGCTGAAACATTCAGGTGCACTCATTTGGATTAGTCAAGGAAATAGCAGAGAATGGATAGGAGCAAAACAGGATGACCGTCCACCTGAGAGCAACAAGGAACCAGGGGAGGCTCCTCAACCCAGGGAAATGGTGAGTGAGTGGGAGACCCTGGGGTCCCACACTTCTTCCATGGATCTTTGTCACCTTGGGGTCAGGAGATCCCCTGTGAACCCATTTCACCAGAGCCTTCAGTCTGACATGCAGAGATACATGGTATCTTAGCAGAGCTGCTTCTCAGACACATGCAGAATCCTAGAAGCAGTGGATCCCTGGGCATCCAGGCAATAAGTAGCTGGAGCTCTGGCAAAGGGGGATATTAGCCTTCCTTATCTTACCCCAAAAAGGGGCTGAGTGAGGGGGCTAGGCAGCAATGGTATGCAGGCTTCACTTGCATGACATCTTACAAAGTCCAAGACCCACTGACCTGGGATTCTAGCGGCCCCCCACAGTGTTCTCAAGCCTTCACCCACTCTGCACTTCCCTGAGATGGAGCTCACAGAGGGAGGGGTGGGCTGTAATCTTTTCCATTCCGCAGCCTTCGTCTTTGCTGTCTCCAGGCTCTGGAGAGTCTCAAGGGGAAGGGGGGGCTGGTGTGGACCCCTAGCACAGTACAGCCGCCACACACAAAAAAGCGATGGGAATGTCCTCCACAGAGGTCCCAGACTTTACTTCTCCTTACTGGGCAGAGCCTCTTGACCTGGGACTCCAGCATAACCACCACACCCCCTACCTGATCACCTAAATCAGAGGTAGCTCAACATTTCTCTGAGGAGGAAATCCCAGAGTCAACCCACAGCCTCTCCATTATTGCAGCTGCAGTGGTAACACCCTAACCACCCTCCAGCTGAGGAAGGAACAAAGGCTTAGTCACTACACAGGCATCTTCAGCACAGAGCACACAACGTACTGTGGGGAGCCCAGTCCTTCTATCCTGGGAAACCCCACCCAAAACATTCAACTAGGCAGGACCCCCAGCTCAGGACTGCAGAACAGAAGCCCCACAGACTGAGCATACCCACTGGTAGTGACTCTGAGTTTCACTGGGGAGAGGCTCCCAGAGGAAACAACAGCCCCTCTGCCACTGCCACTGAGAGGTGAAGCCAGCTGGACTTCCTGGGTCAGGTGGGGACTTGGAGAATTTTCTGTGTCTAGCTAAAGGATTGTAAATGCACCAATCAGCACTCTGAAAAATGGACCAATCAGTGCTCTGTAAAATGGACCAATCAGCAGCACATGGTTGGGGCCAAATAAGGGAATAAAAACTGGCCATCCCAGCCAGCAGCCGCAACCCACTGGGGTCCCCTTCCACGCTGTGGAAGCTTTGTTCTTTCGCTCTTCACAATAATTCTTGCTGCTGCTCACTCTTTGGGTCTGCACCACCTTTAAGAGCTGTAACGCTCACCGCAAAGGTCTGCGGCTTCACTCCTGAAGTCAGCGAGACTACGAACCCACCGGAAGGAAGAAACTTCGGACACATCTGAACATCTGAAGGAACAAACTCCAGACACACCATCTTTAAGAGCTGTAACACTCACTGCAAAGGTCTACGGTTTCATTATTGAAGTCAGCGAGACCAAGAATGCATCAGAAGGAATAAATTCTGGACACACCACAACAGTGGTTCCACTCCTGTTGCCCTTGGTCTGGGGAAGAAACAAAATTTGAGGGCTACACCAGAGCTTACAGTATGCCATCATCACCGTAAGAGAGATCAGTCTGTCCTATCTGTGAGCTCTTCATCCATGCTCCACAACAAGTGGAACCCCCAGCTCATGCTAGCAGTGCAGCTGCCTCACCCGCTGGCTGAACACTCCCTGTAGCAGTATCTTTGTGTCTGTCAGAGGTGGAGCTCCCAGGGCAACCAAAAGCCCCTCCATCACTGCCTCTGCTTTTCTTAGACTGGAGAAGGAACAAAGACCCTAAGTTATTTATCCAGACCTCCAGCAAGCTGCAGTAACCCTAAGGAGAGGAGGCCAGTCTGTCTTCCACAGGTCCCAACCACTCCCCCTGCTTGGCACCAGGCAAGGTGCCCTCGCTAAGCCCCCACAGCTTGGGCCCAGAGTACAGCCCCTTATACTGGGCCAATGGGGCTGTTTGGTGACAGCTCTGCATGTCTCTGGGGTGGAGCCCCAGGAGAAAAGTGAAAGACCCTTGCCCACAAGCACTGCTAAGTTCCCTTTCTCTGGTACTTGCAAGTTGGGAAGAGAACATAAACCTTGAGATTGCCCCAGGGCTGTGGTGGGCAGACTGGGAGTGCCAAGCCATGAAATGCAGTTAACACTCAAATGTTAAAGGAGCACATACTTTCAGTGCATTGAGAGGGAGCATGGCTGCAACTGTAAGGAAACACAGAGGAGCCATGTGGTTGAGCAAGAGTCTACCTACTCTACATTATGGTTAAGTGCTATTTACTGGATCATATTCCAAAATTTAAATGTCAAAAATACTTTACTACCATACCACACTGTGAAACCAAATACAAGGAGTCAGCTACACATAAAGACTTTTCACAGAGCTTCAGCCCTCTGGAAACATCCAAAAAAAAAGAATTCAACTGACTGTACTCAACCTACACCACAGCTAAAGGAACACCCACAGAGATGAGAAAGAACCAGCATAAGAACTCTGGCAACTTAAATGGTCAGAGTGTCTTCTGTCCTCCTAATGACCAAACTAGCCATCTCAGCCTAGTTAAGGATTCTTATTCTCCACCAAATGTCCTTAACTAGGCTGAAATGCCAGATATAAAATCAGAATATGGAAAGAAACAAAGATAATGGAGATACAGGAGAATGTCAAACCCCAATTTAAGGAAGCTAAGAATCACAATAAAATGACAGAAGAGCTGACAGATGAAATAGATAGTATAAAGAAGAACCTAACTGACCTGGTAGAGTTGAAAAACACACTATAAGATTTTTATACTGTAATCACAAGTATTAACATTAGAATTGACCAAGCTGAGGAAAGAATCTCAGAGCTTGATGACTGGATCTTTAAAATAAGACAATCAAACAAAAAATAAGAAAAAATAAAAGGAATGAACAAAATGACATCATTATGTAAAGAAACTTGTGATTATATAAAGAGACCCAATCCATGAATCACTGGTGTCCCTGAAAGAGAAAAAGAGAAAGCAAGCAACATGGAAAACATATTTCAGGACATCATTAATGAAAACCTGCCTAACCTCACTAGAGAGGCCAATATTCACATTCTGGAAATCCAGACAACCCTTGAAAAATACTACGCAAGATGATCATCCCAAAGACACATAATCATCAGATTTTCTAAGATCAAAATGAAAGAAAAAATATTAAAGACAGAGAGAAATGGGAAGTCACCTACAAAGGGAACCCCAAAAAGCTAACAGCAGACCTTCAGCAGAACTCTATAAGCCATAAGAAATTGGGGACCCATATTCAATATTTTCAAGGAAAAAAAACCTCTAACCAAGAATTTCATATCCAACCAATTCAAGCTTCATTAGTGAAGGAGAAATAAGATCTTTTTCAGACAAACAAGTGCTTAGGGACTTTGTTACCACCAGACCTGCCTTACAAGAGCTTCTGAAAAGACCACTAAATACGAAAAGGAAAAATGGTTACCAGCCAATACAAAAACACTCAAGTACACAGATCAATGACAATATAAACAACCACACAAACAAGCCTGCATAACAATCAGTGAATAACATGATGACAGGATCAAATTTACACATATCAATACTAACTTTGAATTTAAATGGACTAAACATGCCAATTAAAAGGCACAGAGTGGCAAGCTGGAAAAAGAAGCAGGACACAGTGGTATCCTGTTTCAAGAGACCCATCTCACATGCAATGACATCCAGAGGCTCCAAATAAGGGGATGGAGAAAAATCTACCAATCAAATGGAAATCAGATAAAACTGGGGTTGCAATCCTAATTTCAGACAAAACAGACTTTAAACCAACAAAGATCAAAAAAGACAAAGAAGGGCGTTATGTAATGGTAAAGGGTTTAATTCAACAAGAAGCCCTAACTATCCTAAATATATATGCATTCAACACAGAAGCACCCAGATTCATGAAGCAAGTTCTCAGGGACATATGAAGAAACTTAGACTCCCTAACAATAACAGTGGGAGAATTCAACACCTCATTGACAGTATTAGACAGATCATCAAGACAGAAAATTAACAAAGATATTCAGGACTTGAACTGAAATTTGATCAAATGGACCTAATAGACATCTATAGAACTCTTTATCCCAAAGCAACAGAATATATATTCTTCTCATCACCAAATGGCACATACTCTAAAATCGACCACACAATCTAACATAAAATAATCCTCAGCAAATTCATAAGAATCAAAATTATACCACCACACTCTTAGACCACAGCACAATAAAAATATAATTCAATACAAAGAAAATCACTCAAACCATGCATTTACTTGGAAATTAAACACCCTGTTCTTGAGTGACTTTTGGGCAAATAATGAAATTAAGGCAGAAATCAAGAAGTCCTTTGAAACTACTGAGAACAAACATACACTACACCGGAATCTCTGGCACTGATAAGGAAGTCTTAAGAGGAAAATTAAACCTAAACCTCTACCTCAAAATGTTAGAAAGATCTCAAATTAACCATCTAAAATCACAACTAGAACTAGAGAAGCAACAGCAAACCAACCCAAAAACTAGCAGAAGATAAGAAATAACCAAAATCAGAGCTGAACTGAAGGCGATTGAGACACACATGCAGAAAAAAGTAAACATTCAAAACATCAGCAAATCCAGGCATTTGTTATTTAAAAAAATTAATAAGAAGACAGATTACTAGCTGGACTAATAAAGAAAAAAAGAGAGACAATTCAAACAAACACAATTAGAAATGACAAAGGGGATATTACCACTTACCCCACAGAAATACAAATAACCATCAAAGACTGCAATGAACATCTCTAGGCACACAAATTAGAAAAAATGGATAAATTCCTGGACACGTACACTCTCCCAAGACTTAACCCAGGAAGAAACTGAATCCCTAAACAGACCAATAATGAACTCCAAGGTGAATCAGCAATAAATAGCCTACCAATCAAAAAAAGCCTAGGACCAGACTGATTCCTAGCTGAATGCTACCAGATATAAAAAGGAGAGCTGGTACCATTCCTACTGAAACTGTTCCAAAAAATCTGAGGAGGAGGAGCTCCTCCCCAACTCATTCTGTGAGGCCAGCATCATCCTTATACTAAAACTTGGCAAAGAGAAACAACAAAAAAGAGCAAACTTCAGGCCAGTATTCTTGATGAACACGATGCAAAAATTCTCAAAAAATCCTAGCAAATCGAATCCAACAGCACATCAAAAAGCTAATTCACCACAGTAAATTAATTAGGCTTTATCCCTGGGATAACAGGTTGATTCAACTAATGTAAATCAATAAACGTGATTCATCACATAAACAAAATTAAAGAGAAGAAACACATGATTATCTCAATACATGCAGAAAACACTTCTGATAAAATACAATATCCTTTCATGTTAAAAATCCTCAATAAACTAGGCATAGAAGGAAAGTACTTCAAAACAATAAGAGCCATCTATGACAAACCTACAGCCAAAATCCTACTGAATGGGCAAAACTGGAAGCATTCCCCTTGAAAACCAGCACAAAATCCAGACAACACTATTCAATATAGTATTGGAAGTCCTCACCACTTCTATTCAATATAGTATAGGAAGTCCTGGCTGGGGCAATCAGGCAAGAGAAAAAAATGAAAGGCATCCAGATAGGAATAGAGGAAGTTAAACTATCCCTGATTGCAGAAGACATGATTCTGTATCTAGAAAACCCCATAGTCTCTGCCCAGAAGCTCCTTAATCTTATACATAACTTCAGCAAAATTTCAGTATACAAAATTAATTTACAAAAATCAGTAGCATTTCTATATGCCAACAACATCCAAGCTGAGAGCCAAATCAGGAACACAATCCCATTCACAAGTGCCACAAAAGGAATAAAATATCTAAAAATACAGCTAACCAGGGGTGAAAGATCTCGACAATTAAAATTACAAAACACTGCTGAAAGAAATCAGAGATGACACAAACAAATGAAAACACATTCCATGCTTATGGATAGGAAGAATCAATATTGCTAAAATGGTCTTGCTGCCCAAAGCAATTTACAGATTCAATGTTATTCCTATCAAGCTACCTATGACATTCTTCACATAACTAGAAAAAACTATTTTAAAATTCATATGGAACCAAAAAGAGCCTGAATAGCCAAGGCAATCCTAAGCAAAAAGAACAAAGCTGGAAGCATCACATTACTCAATTTCAAACTATAATACAGGGCTTCAGTAACCAAAACAGCATGAAAGTGGTACCAAAACAGACACATAGAGCAATACAAATGAATAGAGACCCCAGAAATAAGGCCACACATCTGATCTTTGGCAAACCTGACAAAAACAAGCAATGAGGCAAGGACTCTGCCATATTCAATAAATGGTGTTGAGATAACTGGCTAGCCATCTGCAGAAGATTGAAACTGAACCCCTTCCTTACACAATATACAAAAATCAACTCAAAATAAAGACTAAAATGTAAAACCTAAAACTATAAAAACCCTGAAAGGAATAATCATTCTGGACATAAAAACTGGCAAAGATTTCATGACAAAGACACCAAAGGCAATTGCAACAAAAGTAAAAATTGACAAATGAGATCTAATTAAACTAAAGTGCTTCTGCATAGCAAAACAAACTATCAAGAGAGTAAACACATAATCTTCAGAATGGGAGAAAATATTTGCAACCTATGCATTTGACAAAGGTCTCATATCCAAAATATGTAAAGAACTTAAATTTATAAGCAAATAACAATTCTCCATTAAAAAGTAGGCAAAGGATAAGAATAGACACTTTTCACAAGGAGATATAAATGTAGCAAACAAGCATATAAAAATGCTCTATATCACTAATCATTAGAGAAATACAAATCAAAATCACAATGAGATACCATCTCATACCAGTCAGAATAGCTATTTTTTAAAAAGTCAAAAAAATAACAGTTTCTGTCAAGGTTATAGAGAAAAGGGAACACTTACACACTGCTGGTGGGAGTGTAAATTAGTTCAACTATTGTGGAAAGCAGGGTGGTTATTTCTCAAATAACTAAAAATAAAGTTACCATTTGACCCAGAAATCTCATTACTGGGTATATACCCAAAAGAATACAAAACATTATACAATAGCCAGGCACAGTGGCCCACACCTGTAATTCCAGCGCTTTGGGAGGATGAGGCGGGCAAATCACAAGTTCAGGAGTTTGAGATCAACCTGGTCAATATGGTGAAACCTCGTTTCTAATAAAATTTAAAAAATTAGCCGAGCATGGTGGTGGGCACCTGTAATCCCAGCTACCTGGGAGGCTGAGGCAGGAGAATCACTTGAACTCAGGAAGCAGAGGTTGCAGTGAGCCGAGATTGAGCCACTGCACTCCAGCCTGGGTGACAGAGTGAGAGTCTATCTCAAAAAAAAAAAATTGCACCATAAAGACACATGTGCACATATGTTCATTGTAGCACTATTCACAACGGCAAAGACATGGACTCAACCTAAATGTCCATTGATGGTAGACTGGATAAGGAATATGTGGTACATATACGTCATGAAATACTATGCAGCCATAAAAGAGAATGAGATCATGTCCTTTGCAAGAACATGGATGGAGTTGGAGGTCATTATTGTTAGTAAACTAATGGAGGAACAGAAAAAAAAATATGTATGTTCTAACTTATAAGTGGGAGCTAAATAATGAGAACCAATGGGCATGAAAAAGGAAACAGCCAACACTGAGACCTATTTGAGGGAGGGGATTGGGAGCAGGGAGAGGATCAGGAAACTTACTATTGGGTACTATGCTTAGTACCTTGGTGACAAAACGTTCTGTATAACAAACCGCCATAACATGAGTTTGCTTGTATTAATAAACCTGCACATGTACCTCTGAACCTAAAATAAAAGCTGAAAAAAAAATTGAGTCACAGATCCTAGGTTAAGAAAAACAAAAAAATAGTTATGTTAAAAATACAAAAATAAAAACAATATTGCTTTTTGTAGATATAAATACTGAAAAAACAAATATTTTAAATGCAGCATTTTTTTTTTTTTGGTTAGATGGTTACTAAGGCAAAAAGTACAAAATGCAGATAAAAAGACCTTAGCGTGAATCACAGATCTGCACTAAAACATTCATATAAAACTTAGCAATTTAATTAACTCCCGTGTACTTCAATATTATTATTTTAAATGGTAATGAGAATTCAGACTTCAAACATTTATTGTGAGAAGTTTATGAGTTAATGCAAGAGAAGAATTTCTGGTGGCTAATGAACATGCAAAAGCAAATGTTTTTCACCTTACAAATATATAATGTTGCCTTAACAGTACTTTTTATAAAAAAAATTTAATAAGTATATGTAAAAATCATAAAATTAAATTAAATTGAAGAGATTTAAAATAAGTGTATGTATGAATAATTAAGAGTAGATTATTAAAATGCAAACCAGAAAAAATAGTTGCTTTATTTTTACTCAATTTTTATGTAACTTCTTCCCATATCATTTTGTATGTAGGTGTTAAAAAAAGACTAGTACAATTGTATAATTCTCCCAACATTAATTTTCAAATATTACCTGTAACATAAATTATTTACTATAAAATATTGTATCTACAACTTCAATGTTTAAGTTTTTTATTTGTAGTTTCCCTCTTGAAAAGAAATCTGTATATATTCGGTGCAGTTTTAGAAATACATATCAAATCTTGAATTAGATAACATTTGGCTTTTTCACTATTCCAACTCTTTCTCATAGACATTATTATATTGGTTATATTATGTATACGACAATTTGAATAAAAATAACGAAGTGGGAAAAATGTTCTATTAGAAACAAATCATTAATATAAATTTATATTAAGAAGGTATGGTACTAACATTAGCATAGATTAAAAAGTATATAAAAATATACTCTCACGTCTGTGCTGTTGTATGAACGTTCGTATCTACCTCAAATTTTCAGTGTTGAAATCTAATCCCAAGGTAATAGTATTAAGATGTAAAGGCATTGGGGAGTGACTAGGTCATGGGATTAGGACTCTTATAATGGGAATAGTGCACTTATAGACACCAGAGAGCTAATTCACCCCTTCGCATTGTGAAGACACAGCTACCAAATACTGTCTATGAATCAGAAATTCCTCATCGGACATTGAATCTGGTGATGCTTTTATCTTGGCATTCCTGGCCTCCAGAACTGTATGGAATAAAGTTCTGTTGTTTAAAAGTCACTCCGTTTATGGTATTTTGTTATAGTGGCCCAAAAGGACTAAGCCATCTGGTCACGTAATATATAGAAAAGGGTGGTTTTCAAAAAGAGTAGTGTATATTATAGAAGTTTCACTAATGGTGTTTATTGAATTGGGAATCCGTATGAAAATAAATGAACTACACTTTCACTTTTACAGTAAAATAATTTCAGTAGATTAAAGATCTAAGTGTTAAAAGTGAAATAATCTTTTAAATAAATAAAACACAATTGACATGACTTAAAGGGGGACAGGGAACAGGTCTTTTTTTTTTTTTGAGACAGTCTCGCTCTGTCACCCAGGCTGGAGTGCAGTGGTGTGATCTCGGCTCACTGCAAGCTCCGCCTCCTGGGTTCATGCCATTCTCCCGCCTCAGCCTCCTGAGTAGCTGGGACTACAGGCACCCGCCACCATGCCCGGCTAAATTTTTGTATTTTTAATAGAGGCGGGGTTTCACTGTGTGTTAGCCAGGATGGTCTCGATCTCCTGACCTTGTGATCCATCCACCTCGGCCTCCCAAAGTGCTGGGATTACAGGCGTGAACCACCGTGCCTGGCCAGGGACAGGTCTTTTTTCTGTTTTTCAGCAAACACAAAATCACTATGGAGAAAAATATTTCAAATTTGACTATATTACCTTAAAAGTTAGAAAAAAAATCTTTTTCAACGAAAATATAAGTAGAATAGTAAATCTAAATCACCAGCTAGGGATAATGCATGCCATACATGTAAGCAGTTAAATTTTTGATAGATAATACATAAAAGGCTCACATCTCCCAATACAGAGAAACATAGAGAATTGTGTAAATGAATGGGCAAAAGACTTAAATAGGCAGTTCTCAAATATAAATATAAAATGAGAAACATAATGCTTAATATCATTAAAAACAGAGAAAATAGAATCTAACAATCAAGGATATGCCAAGAAATACCCATAACATTTAAGTTGACAAGACAAGAAATTCTGCAAAGCCAAAGGTTGTGGGGGCATGTAGAGTAGTGAGAACTTTTATGCATCACTAGTTGAGTTATAATTGGATTAACAACCTTGGAGTACTATTTGCATATTTGATGAGTGTGAATATGTATATATTCTGAGACGCAAGTATTCCACTCCCAGGTATCACCTATAAAAGTGGTTACACATATGTGAAAATATTCATAGTAGCATTGTATAAAACCATCAAAAATTATTAATTCATGCATTTGCCCATTATGAAAAATTACTTTGCTTTCTAAAGGTAGGATAGACCCCTGTGAGTCATTACAGTAACTTGTACTCAATATAGACCAATGTGTTCTTGAAACAGTTTATACTAATGTGTCTGACTCACTACTACAGTGAAAAAGAAATAAATCTGGGGCCGTGCGCAGTGACTCATGCCTGTAATCCCAGCACTTTGGGAGGAAAAGGCCGGTGGATCACCTGAGGTTAGGAGCTCAAGACCAGCCTGACCAACAAGGAGAAACCCCATCTCTACTAAAAATACAAAATTAGCCAGGCATGGTGGCACGTGCCTGTAATCCCAGCCACTTGGGAGGCTGAGGCAGGAGAATCGCTTGAACCCTGGAGGTGGAGGTTGTGGTAAGCTGATATCATACCATTGCACTCCAGCCTGAGCAACAAGATCGAAACTCCGTCAAAAAAAAAAAAAAAAGAGAATGAAAGAAATCTGGATAATTCAACCCATTAAACTAGTCAGGAATTACAAAGCTGAAGTTGTGTCCTAGAAGTAGTCCCTTGATATAATAGGAAAATAAATCAAAATTTATTTAAATATATATATATATATATATAAGTCATGGCTAATAGCTTATCTTGAATAAGTTATACCTTTCTAATAAATACTTTAAAAGCAGTAACGATTTTTGTGATAGGCCAAACTGTAACATGACTCCAGTGTTTCTCTTAAATGAACAGTCCTGTATTTTTTTGAGTTGGAGTCTCACTGTGTCACCAGGCTGGAATGCAGTGCTCACTCCAAACTCCGCCTCCTGGATTCAAGGGATTCTCGTCTCTCAGCCTCCTGAGTAGCTCGGATTACAGATACGCGCCATCACACCCAGTTAATTTTTGTGTTTTTAGTAGAGACAGGGTTTCACCAAGTTGGCCAGGATAGTCTCGATCTCCTGACCTTGTGATCTGTCCGTCTCAGCCTCCCAAAGTGCTGGGATTATAGGCTTGAGCCACTGTGTGCAGTCTAACTTGGTTTTAACCAATAGAATATGACAAAGGTGAAGCAATAGCACTCCTGTGACCATGTTTTGTTGGAGTATAGCCAAGGTAAAAGGATTTTGAAAATTTAATAAAGGCCCCTAATAAGTTGACTTTAAGTTAATAGAAAGTAAATTATCCTCCTTAGGCTTGACCTAATCAGGCTAGCCCTTTAAAAGACAGTCTGAAAATCAGAGATTTTTTTCTGCTGTCTTTGAAGAAGCAAAACTCTTCTCTGATATATAAGGCTTTGAGGAAATTCATTCTACCAATACTGTGTAAGCTTGGAGCTTGGAGATGACCTAGAACCTCAGATGAGTCCCCAGCCCTGACACCTTATTGCAGTGATGAATGCCCCAGTAGTAGACCCAGTTTTGCCATGCCCATACACTTCAACTATGGAAACTATGTGATAACTAATGTCCATTATTTATTTCCATTAAATTTGTGAGAGCATATAGAGCATATATAGAAAAGTGAGTTACTCAAAATTAAAATTAAAATAATGATTACATATCTTCTCAAATAATTTAACAAATATTTCTCATTTCTGGGCTGGTAAATTAAATTTTTATAACTCTATGGAATATTAGTTTTGTATCTTTCTCTTTTCTTTATGTTCCCCATCTGAGCCTGGCTGGTCAGAATCTATATTTTAAAAAAGCAGCAGTAATATGTCTAATCTACTCCTGTTCAATAACCTTGGAGAAAGCTTTGAAATTCCTTTGGCCTCAGTTGGTTTTCTGGCAATATGGTGGTCTCCAAAGGGACTATGTGAATGTTAAGTAGGTGCACAAGCTGCTCCATTGTTGGTTGAAGAGATACTGTGAGGGCATTTATTTCATTTATTTGTCATTGCAAACTATTAAAAATCCAGTTTTCAGATTGCTATTATTTAAATGATACATTTCTATGATTATGTGCACATTAATCTTAATGATGTCATTCAAAAACAAAACTACCTACCCAAACACTCAGCCTAGACACTGACAACATAAACCATGCTTTACTGTCTATATTAACATAATTCTACTATTCCATGGTCTTCATTAGCATTATTTTAATTTTCCTAAATGATCCTTCCCAAGAAGAATGGTTTGCATATTCATTATAGAAAGTTTCTGAAAGACTTATGACTCCTCAACAGAAAGTATCAACAATTTGGGGGCTAAGTTGCTATAAATTCCTCCTCTTAAAATCCTTTTCATACATTCCCAACAATCCTATGTTGGTTTTATTAGCTTTACCAAATCCAATCAAGTCCTCTCCTTGAACCACCCTCCTTTAATTGAACTTCCAAATCTGACTAGATTCAGAGTTTACCTTCTCAGAGATACTGACAGAGCTTTGAAACATGGTGTTTTCCCTTATCAATGGAGACAATAAATTCAACTTGTCTATTAACTTGTTATTTGTTTATATTAGGAGACAAATGACTTAAGGACAATATAATATTTATGAAACATTCTAACTCTAAAGTTCTGCACTGATTAAAATGATTTCATCCTTTAGATTTTTGCATTCCTAAAAATGGTATTTTCTTTTGTATTTTGAACCATTTATCTTTCTCTTGCTTGCATTGAATGAGCCATGAAGCAATGTTAGTA